>NW_017363818.1:0-246895 GCF_000001405.40 Homo sapiens
AGACATTTACCCCATCCTAACAGAACCATAGTCTCAGACTTAGTTCAGATAATTCCCAGTGCCAACAGAGTCCAAGACAGCTGTCTTAGTCTGCACAGGCTGTACCGTAGTTCAAATATTTGTGTCCCTCCAAATTCATGTTGAAACCTAATCATCATTGTGGTAGTGTTACGAGGTAAAGTCTTTAGGAAGTGGTTAGTCCATGAGGGTGGAGCTCTCACGGATGTGATTTGTGCCCTCATAGAAGAGGCTTGAGGGAGCCTTCTGCCCTTTCCACCATATGAAGCTGTAATGGCAAAGTGCCATCTTTAAAGCAGAGAGCAGGCTTTCACCAGATACTGAAGCTGCTGGCACCTTGATTTGTACCTCCAGCCTCCAGAGCTATAAGCAAGAAATTTCTGTTGCTATAAGTTGCCCAGCCTAAGATATTTTGTTATAGAAGCCCCAACAGATTAAGATAGGCTGCCATAACAAAATACCATGGACTAAGTGGTTTAAACAACATAAATTTATTTCCTCTTAGTTCTAGGGACTGAAAGCCCAAGATCAAGTTGCGTGCATGAAAAGAGAGAGAGGGAGGAAGGGAGAGAGAGAGAGAGAGAGAGAGAGAGAGAGAGAAAGCGAGAAAGCGAGAAAGCAAGGGAGAGAGAGGGCTAGGCCTCTGGTTTCTTTTCTTATAAGGATATTAATCCTGTGGAACCAGGGTCCCATCCTTATGACCTCAATTTACCTTCACTACTTATTTAGCAGTTTCATGTCCAAATACAGCCACACTGGAGGGTAGGGCTACAACATATGTATTTAATATGGACATAAACATTTAGGCCATAATACTAGCCAAGAGGGCAAAGCAAGAATTCCCACCCAAAACAGTCATAAGCATAAATAACATATTATCACTGTGATTTAAGGCCATTAATAAATCCACTGCTAACTAGATTCTAGTTGGTCCTGAGGTCTATGTGGAAATTGTTAAGATGTACAGAGAATATCATGACCTATGTCAGAGTTGTGACTCTTCCAACAGAAAATAACACGTGTCAGTAGAAGATCATGAGAATTTCATCAGACACAACTAACTCCATGCTGGTGAGACAGGGATTACTGAAACAGCACTCCTGGGATTAGGATTGACTGTGGACCTGGATAGGTTTCACCCACAGGTGTATTTCATTAATCACTTTAACTGGAAGGAGGGTCTAGATACTATCTATAGCTATTCACTCATTGTGGCTTTGTTGCTTTCTTTAGTGTAAGAAAATGTGTAAGAAAACGTGGGGGAAAAGGTGGGAAGATTAGGAATTGAGTCAGTAGGCGTAAAATCATACAACCAGCTAATGATAGAAGTGAGACTAAGACGAAAGTCTCTAGACTTCCAAGTTTCATACTTCTTCTGCTCTATTCCACTTTTACTTTGAAGAGGGGTTGCCATTGTCTGGACAAAAATCCTAACTCTCCTTTATGTCTCTAAAATACTTTTGGGGGCTTAGAGTGTGAAAGTTCTGCAATGATAATAATAGGAGCACACCGTCTTGAGAACTTATTATGTGCCACGCACTTCCAATGTATGATATCATTTAATTCTCTAAACAACTCTGGGTAGTGGGCACTATTAATATTTTCATTTTCTAGATGAAAAACAAAAAGGTTTGGAGGAGAATTAGATGTCACACCTGAGAAGTCGTAAATCCAAGGTTCAAATCTAGCTTGACTGAGTACAGAGTCAAAGATTATAACTAGGAAACTATAGACTATGGGTTTGTTAGAAACCATTTGCCCTTATGTAGCAGAAATGGTGTTTTATTTAGATCTTTTTGGTATTTTCATATTAATCATGTATCAATATGTCATTTGACCTCTACTATCTAAAGGACATGCTGATTTTCCCCAAATGATAAATAAAACAATAACAAAAGTAGTTTATTCTCCCTCCTGCTCACAGATAGAATTCCAAAAACACATACTTCTCAGAAGCAAAATGAGGCATTATTCCCTGAAAGAATGAACAATTCAGTATCCTACATTTTCCAGAAACAATCTCCCAATCAAAAAAAAAAAAAAGTGACTGACAGCTTAAGGAGAAAGAGAGGTTGAGAGACATATCTCAAAATTACCCATTACCCAAGTGCGTTAATAGTAATAGTAAGACATCAAATGTATAGTTGGTCTCTTTACCTCCCCAGTTTAGGGAGTTTCAATGATCCCTGGAGGCACATGAACCTACTGTGCTAAGTAATAGTCTCAAAATTCAGAGACTCCCTTTCACAGCCCATCTTCACTACTGACTCACTGCATTATTTGCTAAAACCAAGTTGTTCACTCACTGAGATGGATTAAGAGAAATAACATTCCTAATTTTTAAAGCTGTGAGAAGACAACCATGCTATCTGGGCAAAACAGACAAAAAATGCTTTACAGACATAAGCAGTTTAGTTTTGTAACGAAATAAAACTTGCAACAACAAATCATCTGACACATAGCTAATGGTATGCTTCGTCATTATTTGTCTGTGCTGTAATTTGACCTAAATTGTGAGCAGTTTGTGTAAATCGCTTTATTTCTTAGTGATGACTATCTCTTAACATTTGTATAACACTTTAAAGTTTATAATGTACTTTACCATAGATTATCTTATTATCTCACGTGAGAAGGTCTAATGAGCTCAGTAAATGTTAGTGTAATTTAAATCACTCAAAGCCACGTTAGAAAGGCTAGGTAGATATCACTAATTCCTTCTTTGAATGAGGAAGCTGAGACATACAGCTTCTTTGTGACTGGGCCAAACTAAAGCCAAAGTCATTTGACATCTGGTGATGACTGTTCTTTCTTATACCATGTCACCTTTCACATAGTCAGATATAGCAAACAGTGCCTTGTGGAGAGGAAGAATGGGTAAAATTAAATTTAAAAAGAGCGTTTGAGATGTCCCTCTGTGGTTTAGTTTCCTTTGTATGCTTCAAGTGGTTTATCCTTCAATTCCTTAAGGCAGATCTCTTTTTTTGTGTTGTTTGAGATTTCAAAGAGAGAGAGAGAAAGAGAGATACAAACATGTACCTCTCAGAAGACTACTGCTAGCTGTTAATAGTAAAAACAGAGCATTTCCTTTTTGTAGAGTGCTTTGTAAATCTCAGAGCTTTTCTCTTAGGTGAATGGCAAAAGTTCAAAGATCTTTGCTGTCACAGGACACTATTCATTATCTGGTTCTTCCCCACCTCCCTGGTATCAACCCCCTTGCTCCTCCAGACATACTCTGTCCTAGCTACACAAAACAAAACTTATAGTATGTTCTTGAAAGTATTAAGCTATCTTATACTTCCATAATCTCACACATACTGTCCTGTTTGCCTTGGCTGCCTCTCCTCTGCTTTATCCAAAGTTTCCAAGGCTTCCATTCTTCTTCTTCATCCTCAATTATTATAGTACCCTGGAGATGGTTTTAAGAAACACTGTCCCTAGATTCCATCCTAGGCCAGTTGTATCTGACATCTATATTTATAAAAACTTTCCTATTTGATTCTGGTGCCTGTGAGGGTTGAGTATCATTATTCACATCTCTATCCCACTGATCCTTCAACTCCTCAAGGGGATGGAGTATGTTATTCAATTTTGTATTCCCAGAACCTAGCACGGAGTCAGACTCATTTATTAGACTTTCTTTGTCTCAGAAACAGGGCTATTTGGACATGCCAAAGGATGCTGGAGTTTCACATTCTTCTCTTTTTTTTCAATGCTATTTGTAGTCATTTATTAAAAAATGAGGCAGCTTTATATGAACCCATAGACATGAAACATTCCTTGCCTCTGTTATCTGTGTCCACCAGAATGCCATGTTACACATTATCCAAAATTTAGTGTCTTAACACAATAAATATGTATTTATCTTAATCATCTGTAGGTTGATGATTTAGGCTGTGCAGTTCTCATTTTAGCTGGGCTTGCTTGCATATCAGTGGATCAGCTGGATGTTGGCCAAAGTGATCAGAGGGGAATCATTTTCCCTTCTATCACCAAATGTGCCATCATACCTGCATTGGTGCCCATACATTGTGCCTTCTCTTGGGTCACAGCAGGTGTGTTGTCCTGGTTCCTGCCTAAAGATCACCGCTCTATGAGGTTATCTATTTAATGACTTGAATCTGTAATTGTCCCCTCTCTTGCATCATCTATTTACCCTTCTTTGATATCATTCCTTTGAAAACATGCTGCATTGTTTTACATCTAAACAAAATACATTCCTTTTAACCCACTGACCCATATCTCTTTCAGCAAAATTTCAGAGTTATCTATACCAACTTTCTTCACTTCCTCACCTGCCATTCTTTCTTGAACCCCTTATGTCAAGTTGTTGTTCCCACAGATCCACTGATGCTGCTTTTGCCAGTGTCCTCAGTGATTTCCATGTTGCCACATCAAATGTTTCCTTCTTTGCCCTCATATTATTCAGCTTCTTGGAAGCAGTTGGCATAGTTGATTACTCCATCCTCCTTGAAATTCTTTCTTCACTTGGCTTCAGGGAAACCACCCTCCTTGTTTTCCACCTATCTCACTGGTAACTACTACACATCTTTGTGGGCTGAACCTTCTTTATCTTACTGACCCTTAAATGTTGAAGTGTTCTCAGGCTCAGTCCTCAAATTTCTTCTCTTTTCAATTTTTTCTAGCTTTTATTATAGGTTCAGGGGTAAATGTGCAGATTGGTATATAAGTAAACTGTGTGTCACAGGGGTTTGGTGTGCCCAGGTAATAAGCATAGTACATAATAGTTAGTTTTCCTGTCTTCTCCCTCCTCCTACCTTCCATGCTCAGGTAGGTCCTGGTATCTGTTGTTCCTTCTTTGTGTTCATGTGTACTCAATGATTTGCTGCCTCTCATAAGTGAGAACATGCAGTATTTGGTTTTCTGTTCCTGCGTTAGTTTGCTTAGAATAATGGCCTCTAGCTCCGTGCATATTGTTACAAAGGACATGCTTTCATTCTTTTTTATGGCTGTGTAATATTCCATAGTATATACATACCACATTTTCTTTATCCAGTCTACTGTTGATGGGCATGTAGATTGATTCCATGTCTTTGCTACTGGGAATAGTATGGCCATGGACACACACGTGCATGCATCCTTATGGTAGAAGGATTTATATTATTTTGAGTGCATACCTGATAATGGGATTGTTTGGTTGAATGGTAATTCTGCTTTGGATTCTTTGAGAAATCACCCCAGTGCTTTCCACAACAGATGAACTAATTTACATTCCCACCAGAAGCGTATAAGCATTCTCTTTTGTCTGTAATCATGGCAGCATCTGTTATTTTTTGACTTTTTAATAATGCCCATTCTGACTGGTGAAATGGTATTTCAATGTGGGTTTGAATTTCATGTCTCTAATGATTACTGATGTTGAACATTCTTTCACATGCTTGTTGCCACATGTATGTCTTCTTTTAAAAAGTGTCTGTTAATGTCCTTTGCCCACTTTTTAATGGTTTGGGTTTTTTTTTTTTTGGTGTTAATTTGATTACACTCCTTATAAATTCTGCATATTAGACCTTTTTCAGATGCATAGTTTGCAAATATTTTCTCCCATTCTGTAGGTTGTCTGTTTATTCTGTTGTCAGTTTGTTTTGCTGTGCAGAAGCTATTTAGTTTAACTAGGTCTTATTTGTCAATTTTTGTGTTGTAATTGCTTTTGGTGTCTTTGTCATAAAATCTTTTCCAGGTCCTACCTTCAGAATGGTATTTCCTAGGTTATCTTCCAGAGTCTTTATATTTTTAGCCTTTATATTTAAGTCTTTAATCCATCTGAAGTTGATTTTTGTATATGGTATAAGGAAGGGGTCCAGTCTCCATCTTCTGCACATGGTTAGTCAGTCATTCCAGCACCATTTATTGAATAACAATTCCATTCACCATTGCTTGTTTTTTCCAACTTTATTGAAGATCAGATGGTTGTAAGTGTGTGACATTATTGAAACAGGAATAAATTGAATCCCTGAGCAGACCATTAAGAGCTGTAAAATTGAATCAGTAATAAAAAGCCTACCTGCACACCTTGCACATGTACTTCAGAACTAAAATATACAATACAATGCAATACAATGCCTACCAAACAGAAAAATCCCAGGACCAGATAGATTCACAGCTGAATTCTACCAGATATATAAATAAGAACTGGTATTATTCCTTCTGAAACTATTCCAAAAAAGCTAAGAAGGAGAGATTCATTCCTAACTCATTCAATGAGGCCAGCATCATCCTGATACCAAAACCTGATAGAAACAAAACAACAACAACAACAAAAATCTTCAGGCCAATTGTTGATGAGCATCAGTGCAAAAATCCTCAACAAATACTAGCAAACAAAATCCAGCAGCACATAAAAAAGACAATTCACCACAATCAAGTAGGCTTTATCCCTAGGATGCAAGTTTGGTTCAACATATGCAAATCAATAAATGTGATTCATCACATAAACAGAACTAAAAAGAAAACCTACACGATCATCTTGATAGATGCAGAAAAGGCTTTCGATAAAATTCAACATTCCTTCATGCTAAAAACCCTCAACAAACTAGGCACTGAAAGAACATTCTTCAAAATAAGAGACATCTATGACAAACCCATAGACAACATCATACTGAATGGGCAAAAGCTGGAAGTATTATTTTTGAAAACTGGAACAGGACAAGGATGCCCCCTGTCACCACTCCTATTCAACATAGTACTGGAAGTCCTAGTCAGAGCAATCAGGCAAGAGAAAGAAATAAAAGGTGTCTAAATAGGAAGAAAGGAAGTCAAACTCTCTTTGTTTATAGAAAACATGATTCTATACCTAGAAAACCCTGTAGTCTCTGCCCCAAGGCTCTTAGATCTGATAAACATCTTCAGCAAAATTTCAGGATACAAAATCAATGTATGAAAATCAGTAGCATTTCTATACACCAATGACATCCAAGCTGAGGGCCAAATCAAGAATGTAATTGCATTTACAATAGTCACAAAAAGAAAAAAGATAGCTAAGAATATAGCTAATCTGGGATGGGAAAGATCTCTACAACTAGAATTAAAAAACACTGCTCAAAGAAATCTGAGATAACACAAATGAAAGGAATTCTATGCTCATGGATAGGAAGAATCAATATTGTTAAAATGGCCATACTGCCCAAAGCAACCTACAAATTCAATTCTACGACTATCAAACAATGACAGTCTTCACAGAATTAGAAAAAAATAAAATTCATATGGAACTAAAAAAAAGCCCAGATAGCCAAGGCAATCCCAAGCAAAAAGAACAATACTGGAGACATATGTTACCTGACTTTAAACTACACTACAAGAGTATAGTAACCAGAACAGCATGGCTCTGCTACAAAAATCACACTCTTTTAAACCAAGACTCCTCAGTACTACTGGATCTTCATGTAGAGCTATAATATGTGTCAGTGCTCCACATCGTTCAATGTTGGATGATATTTTCTGTTTCACCTATGCTGATCTGATTCGCTTCAGTCTCTTATTCAGGTTTTCTAAAATGTAGTATTTCCATTTTGGTCTGCCCTCTGTCTAGGCCACATCACCCTTCTACACAACTGCTATCTGTAACTGATGATGGCTCCATTTTTCACTTAGCCTGAACATAGCCTCAGAATTCTTCTCAACCCAGAAATCCAAGAAGCCATTTCAAGTAAGTTAGAGTAGGTATATGAATCAAAATCTATTTGTGATCCCTGACCTGAATCCTTGAATTGATGACATAAATTTGTGTTTGGCTCTTTTGGCTGGTCAATTTCCTCGGCTATAGAACTTCCAATATTACCCGGCTTTCACACTACATTTATATAAATGAAACACAACTACCTGGTTCCCCATTTCAAGCCTTGGTTCAGCTTTCAACAAGGAAAAGGAAATGAGTGTTGATTGCATTTCATGAGGGCATCCTATACTCCAATGCCACATTTGAAGCTTATAGAAATAGGCTTGAGTAGGAAATGAAATCCAATTATATGTATTCTCATTTCACTGATATTCACAGGTATCATTGTCCTGTTCAGATTAAGGCACTATGGTCGGGTGACTATCTCAGGCCTATACCTAGATATCTTTGGGCTATGAAAACGGTTGGGCTTGATCTTACAGTTCAGCATCACCATAATGCAAAGAGGCCCTGTGTAGATGGCTGACTCAAAGGCATGCAAGACAAGTAAAGCAGAACTATATTCAAACTGTGGCTTGGAGGTGAGCCCAGTGACACCCATTACCTTCTAATTTTTAATATGCTATTGTAGTAATGTGAATTTGGGTAAGCGAACTCAGATCTTTGTACCCCTTGTTCCCAGTTTGTAGAATGAAGCTATTGAGCCAGAGGATTCTAAAGTCCATTCTGGCCCCAAAACTGATTGTGAAACATTTGTGGAATGACAAGAAGGCAGAGACTAATGTTTCTGTCATATAAGTGAGTGATCTGGGGCTTTTTGATTTCAAAGATATTGACAAGAATTATTCAGCTAATAAGTGGTGAGGTCAGGATTAAACCGAGAACTTCTGACCAGAATACCACAAAATGTTTTACCAGACCACATGGATTCTAGTTAAATTTTAGTTTTCAGGTTAGAAAAGAAAGGTGAGTAAATTTATCAATCTTAGAAAATCTGGAGAATAATGTAGTAGGAGAATTGATTGAAAGTTCATTTTAAAATCCCTGAAAAGCTTTAGGGCAACCTGGAAGAGGGCCAAGTTCAGTGGTGACTTCAAACACAATATACTACTTTTGCCCGTTTTTAACATTTATATAAATAGAATATAGTTTATTTAACTTAATGTTACATTTATGAGTTTCAACTATGTTGTTTTTTGTTGCAAATTTCATTCTCATTTTGTATAAATCCTATTGTATAAATATAATTAATTGCTTTGTGGATGACATATATTTGTCTTTCTTTCAATTATTTGGCTTTTAATAATGGTGCTGAGATATACATTTTTATGCATGTATTTTGGTTAATTCATACATTTCTGTTGAATATAGTCCTAGATTTTTGTTGAGCTTTTAGTGCATTCTGACATATCCAATTTTTCAGAGTCATTCTAAATATTGACATAACTACTCCAGTTTCAGTTAAACCACATCCTTGCTGACATGTAGTATTGTTAGACTATTTAATTCTTAATTTTAAAACACTACAAATAAGCTTTATTTTCATATTCTAGGAAATGAAGATGCTCTAGCATATTTTATTTAGAAGCTGTATTATTTTAACTGTCTCATTTTTCTCTCCAGTCGATCTGGAGGAGTAAGGGTAAATATTTATTTGATGCACATACAATTGACCCATCTTTGTATTGAAGAGACTATCATATTGCCACAGTGCTGCACTGTTATTTTTGTCATATATTGGTACACTTTTATAGGCCTATTTCTGGACTCTCTCTTTTGCTACATGATATGTTTTGGCGTGTCCCCACCCAAAACTCAACTTGTATTGTAACTCCCACAATTCCTGTGTGTCGTGGGAGGAACCTGGTGGGAAGTAATTGAATCATGAGGTCAGGTCTTTCCCATCCTGTTCTCATGCTAGTGGATAAGTCTCACGAGATCTGATGGTTTCAAAAATGGAAGTCTCCCTGCACAAGCTCTCTTTTTTTGCCTGCTGCCATCCATGTAAGACATGACTTGCCCCTTCTTGCCTTCTGCTATGATTGTGAGGCTTTCACAGCCACATGGAACTGTAAGTCTAATTAAACCTCTTTTTTTGGTAAACTGCCCAGTCTCAGGTATGTCTTTATCAGAAGTGTGAAAATGGACTAATACGCTACATTTGTCTGTTTGCCTTTGTACTATCTGAAATACTGTAGCATTATGAAAATTCAATATCCAATAGAGTAAGTCCTCCAGTTTTAGTCCTTTCTATGTTTGCATATATCTTATTATCCACTTATTTATTTCCACCATAAAAACTGAGTTTGGGATTGCATTAAATATATAAATCTATGAAGTAAAAATTAAAATCTTTACAAGAGTTATAATTGAAGAGCATGGCAAATCACAATTAAGTTAGGTCTTCTTTAATTTCTCTTAATCATGCATGTTTTTAGTGTTCTACATAAGTCTTGCACATAATTCACAGATTTATTCCTAGATTTTTGATACTATTATACATATAATAATATGTATCTTTAAAATACTCATGTTCTATATTTGTTGTTAGTATTTAAAAATACAGTTGATTTTTAAAAATATTGCCCTTTTGTCCAAACACCTCATCAAATGTACTTTTATTTGTAATAGTTTTACTCTGTACATTCTTTTGAATTTTCTATGTATATAATAATATCATCTGTGAATAGGACAGTTTTATTTCATCAGGTCCTTTTAAATAATATTTACTAGAAGTGAATGTAAACAAGCATTTTATCTCCTCACAATTTCAGAAGGAAAGTGATCTTTATTTCACCATTCAGAATGAAGTTTGTTTTTTTTATATTTTGTTAATAACATGCTTCTATTCTCAGTTTTAGAGAGTGCATCATGAATGATTGTTGGTTTTATTAAATGACTTTTTCTGTGTCTATTGAGATTATTATATGTTTTTCTTCCTTAGTTGTTCATATGGTGAGTTGCTTGATTTTGAATCTTAAAAAGCAATAAAGTTAACTTAGTCATAGTATATTACTTCTCCTATGTTATGATATCACTGTATTTGATTTTTCTCTTCTTCCTCCCTTCTGTCTTCTTTCCTTTTCTCTTCCTTCTTTCAGAAGTTTGGCACATAATTTCATTAGAGAAGAAGTCTATACTTTTCATTTAACGTCCTTATCTTTTGTTATCAGGATTAGGCAGACTTCATAAGAAAAGTTGGTGTGTGAAAATATCAATGTATTTTTTAAGATACATTGAATCATAAGGCATATTCAATGTGTAAAAGTATTACAATATATTAATAAAAGCAGAGGTATTTTAAAGAACATTAGAGGCATACTTTTTAAAGGGTCATGGCATTTGCTCAGGGAGTATACAATGAAGTTAGTCTGTAATCTGAGAAGGGCTACCTGGAATCCAGGTATGTTCAGCATGGAGGCTCCATCTTCCCTTTTCTTTGTCACCATGTGTACAGTAAAGAAACAGGCAACATGGCACTGGCCAGGTAGAGAACCCATCTGCATAATCAAATGTTAGGGTGCGGTGGCCAAATTCTTTGGATGCTATGCAAATGGCACACCTGGTTAGACCAATCTTTTGTGCCCTAGGTAAATCTGATATCACCCCCTCAAGCTCATCTACAAAACCTTCTGCATTTCACTGTGGAAGCAGTGACCCGTTTTCTCCAGGACCCTTCTCTGCTCAGAGAGCTCTTTCTTTCTTTCTCCTATTAAACTTCTGCTCTTAACCTCCCTCTGGTGTGTCTGTGTCCTAGTTTTCCATGGCTGTGAGACAATGAACCTCGCGTATTACCCCAGACAGTGACGCCGCTTCAATAGTGAGTAAGTTCTTGTGAGATCTGGTTGTTTAAAAGTGTATAGCATCCCCTCTCTCACTCTCTTGCTCCTGCCATGGGAGATGCTCGCTCCCCCTTTGCCTTCTGCCATGATTGGAAGCTTCCCGAGGTTCTCCTCAGAAACAGAAGCAGCTGTGCTTCCTTTACAGCCTGCAGAACTGTGAGTCAATTAAACTTTTCTTTATAAATTACCCAGTCTCAGGTAGTTCTTTATAGCAATGTGAGAACAGACTAAAAAAAGCAACCGGCTATTGTTTTCAAGGGGTGTTGCCATATTGAGTGCACAGTGTCATTCTGTACTGTAGGCAGTTGGGGCTTGAACAGCAGCTGTGACATTGTTGGAAAAGAGGTGACGCTCTTGGTCCTGTGCATACCATTCATCCTCATGTTAAGTTGGCTCATGAGGCCATTATGTGAGCCCTGAGGTGGTTAAGATGAAAGACTGGCTGATACCCATGGGACATGTCATCATGTCCAACTGGCTGTTGAGAAATTCCTGAGTTCGTTTAGGTGATTAATATGAAACACAAAATTTTGCATGCTGTGTGCCTACTCCAAAATTCTCACTCACATACTTCTTCTAAAGGCTTTCTCATCCTTCATTTTTCAGTATTATTACTCCTGGAACACTAGTAGGCTAGTTGCCTTTTCCCAAAAGTCATTGCACATTCTAACCTCAGACCAAGCTCCCTCCAAATGAAGTGGGTAGTCAACTGTGTTGCTCATACCCCTGACTACAAGAAGGATTTCCCAATGCTACAATCCTCACTAAATGGGGCTGTATTGTAGAAGATGTCAATTCCCAGTAATTGATAAGCATTACTTCAATACATTTTTGAATGATGCCCAAGTCAGCATGCATCAGCTGGCCATAGGGAATCCCCATTCTATGGTGCAATTGGTGTGCTTTAAGCAAGAAGTACCAGTGCATCAGAGGTAGATGCCATAGACTGCCTATTTCTGTAATTTAATTATATCATCAGTATATACTCAAGCCTGATCCTGAATGTATGACTTCTCTTACATAATGTATTTTTGCTGTGCCCACAAATATTATCTGATAAAATGGATCAGATAATGGCTTCTCAGGCCATGTATTCATTTGGCATTCCATATTCAAATACTCAGTCTCAGTTAGATTCAAGTAGCATGCCAAGGTTATTTTTTCAAACCAAAAGTAATCTCGTGATGTGGAGGGCATAATTTTACTCCAGAAACCAAGAGATCTGTACTCTATTATCGTCTATTGGGGTTTGACAAGATAAGGATCCTTACGTGTCACTCTAGCACAGTATTTCTCAACTGGGGGCTATTTTATCTCCCAGGAGGAAGTTGTAGCTATCTGGAGATGTTTTTGGTTGTCATAATTTGAATAGGGATTGCTACTGGCATCCAGTGGGTAGAAACCAGAGAAGCTGCTAAACATCCTACCATACACTGGATACTTCTTTCTCCACAACAACAAAAAATAATCAAGCTCAAAATGTGAATAGTACTGAGGTTGAGAAACTGGTCTAGCACTATTGAATCTAATGCGTTCTATGATTTGAGGTTGGACAGATTATACTGTATCCTAGACATGCTGCAAATATTTCCTTTGTTCTTGACCACACTTGAAACTTGAAGGATTCTTCATTCAATACATGGATTGGAGCAGTTTTCTAAGTATGATGAATGCGGTCTCCAAAATCCCCTGTCCTCCTTCAAAAAGCTCATAACATGCTGTGAGAGATGTGAAGTGTAACAGTTGCATTGACCTCAGAGGGAATATCTCTGTATCTTCTGGACCATATATGACGCTTGAAAACTTTACCACATTCATTCTCTACTGATTGGGTTAAATTCTCATTCTGTGAAGAACTTCAAGATGATTAAGGTTCCCATAGAACTACTTTATGACAAAGAGAAGAAAATTACACTGCCTTGGGCCAAGAGAGTAAAAGGCAGTAGAAGTGTATTGTTGTCTTTATTGTGTAATGGTGAACAATTTTTGAGTCTTCCTGATGATGGTGAACAAGAAAAACCATCATTTACAAAGTCACTATAAATTATGCAACATAAATTGTGTTAATCTATTACAGTAAAGACTAGGCCACATTTTGAACAGCATCTGAAATTGGAACCAACACTTGGTTATGTTTATAGTATTTCACTATCATTTGCTACAACTCATCTGCTTTTTTGCAGAGACTAGAGAGATGAATTGAATATGGGTATAGTAAGTCTCTTGTATTTGTTAAATTTTAGTGATCCTAATCTTCAGTTTTTCCTGAATTGCTCTGTTTCCTTTATTTTCTTGGCACAGGAGAAATAGGGCATGTTGAGGGCTTTCCACTTGACTCTTTTATGATGGCCCTTACTCCACAAATCAGAAAAGCGACATAAGTTCCTGCCAGGTGTTACGTATATCAATCCTAATTTTACATGTAAGAAACCTGAAGATAACTACAAGGTGGGTTCACATGAATTGGACATAATATGAGAGATTGGGTTCAAAATTCCATGCTACATGCAGGGTCAAGAATTAGGTGAGGCAAGCAAAACACTTAGGGAACAAAATCTGAGGAGAAAATTATTCTCAGGGCTGTGCAAGTACAAACCCTGCACTTGCATAACAATGAGAGTGAGTGCTTTCTTAACATTTGTTTCCTATGCATCTCATTCACCTTACCCTGGTCTCAGTCCTAATCACCTGACCTTTCTAAGTCCCACTGTAAACCTAGGAGGTTATATCTCACAGTATCTCATAGTTTAAAACATCTCTAATGCACAATCACCTGGGAAACTGAAGAATTTGAGAAAAGGAATACTTATTGCATATACTTATGGTCCTTTTCAAAAGCAACCATCCTCCACTTTGATCAATGGGTTCTGGCTTCATGAACTGACTTCAATCTAAAATCAAGAAACCCTACATTTTTTGTATTGTCACAGCTGATCTAAGTCTTTTGCTTCCGCTTCCTCTTCCTCTCCCTCTGCCTCTCCCTATACATAGTGATTAGTACCCTCCTTGGCTGCCCCTAGATCTCGGTTCTATAAGCACCATAAATTAGGTATTTTCTGCAGTTTCAGGATATGAGTCTTCTTTAAATCTGACATAGAGACTCTAGCTTTGAAAGCATGCCTTAAATTGCAATTGACTGCTAGAATCTACATTCTCCAGTTTCGTTCTCCTGTTCTATACTGCTGTAAAAATAAGACGTCTTCCTCCTAAATTCTTATAATTGTCATTGCCCTTATACTGACTAAATATCTTAGCTACTTGATCCCCCAATGCCTGCTGTCCCAGACTAATTTAGGATCAAGAAGTAAAATAGTCATCATGGGGATATATATTGACAAGTTTATCTGAATTAAAAATTAAGTAATTAAAAAAGTTAAAAGTAGATACATAATGACATTCTTTCTCACATAAAATATGTCTTATTTGCCTAATTGCTTTTGCTAATTAATTTATATGCAGGCATTTCCCATGAACCAAATGTTCAGCTCCAACATTTTCCAAAATATATTTCAAGCACAAGAAAACATAAAAGCTCTTAATCCAAAATGTAATATTTTAAAAATGCATTAAAATTAACATTATTTTATTTTTTCCCAATAATCTAAGTCTATCAAATTAAGCCAGATGTCTTTAAATTAAAAGTTTCCAGAAAAAACATAATAGACATGTATTAGTCTCGGTATATTTTTTTGATACACATCTCAGATGTGTATTGTTGTTGTATTGTGTTGTGGTTCTTTGTTTCTTATAAAATTCAAGTAGGACCCAACTTCATGACCAGGGTGAGGTAAACGAGACACTTTGAGAGAAAATCTTAAGAAGGCATTCAGTTTCAGAGCCATGCAAGTGCCCACCCTGCTCTTGCATGACCCCAAAAGAGTGCCTCCTTGCTTGTCTCCCCCAGCCCTGACCACAGTATGACACAATTAAAATGTTAACTGATAGATCATTAAAGACACCTTTTGATCTTATATCAGTTTGTAATTTTTGTTGTGTAACTCAGAAGAGGTTCAAAGGAATGACTACCATTGCTCAATTTCTATCTTTAGGAATAGACTTCTTCTGGCATATATGTATATCCATTTTATGCTGACTTTCCATATGTGTGTGTGTGTGTGTGTGTGTGTGTGTGTGTGTGTGTGTACTTCATATAAATTGAGTTATATATTATAT
The DNA here is from genome assembly GCF_000001405.40 of Homo sapiens. Classification (NCBI taxonomy): domain Eukaryota; kingdom Metazoa; phylum Chordata; class Mammalia; order Primates; family Hominidae; genus Homo; species Homo sapiens. The sequence goes on from NW_017363818.1 coordinate 15,664, forward strand.
ATATAATTTATGTATATAAATTGAAAAGTAGGCATAAAATGAATGCTCAATCCTTTCTTATTCTAGTAATAAATCATAATCATCCAAAGAAAAAGACATACTTTTATGTAATTGTTTGTATTAGTTTCTTATAGCTGCTGTAACAAATTACTGCAAGCTTCTTTGCTTAAAACAGCAGAAACTCAACATCTTACAGTTCTGCAGGTTAGGGGTCTATATGAGTCTTACAAGGCTAAAATCCAGGTATCTGCAAGGCTGTGTTCCTTCTGAATGCCCCAGAGGTGAATCCCTTTCCTTGCCTTTTCCAGCTCCCAGAGGTCACCTGCATTCCTTGGCTCATCTCAGTCTTCAAAGTGCATCATTCCAATACCTGCTGTGTCATCACAGCTTCTTTTTCTGCCTCTGACCCTTTCGTCTCCTCTTATAAGGACTCTTGTGATTATGTTGGATCCTCCCAGATAATCCAGGATCATCACTCCATCTCAAGATCTTTAATTTAATTGCATCTGAAAAGTCCTTTTACCATGTAAAGTAACATAATTACAGATTATGGGGATTAGAACATGAACATTTGTGAATGGGTTATTATGCTGTCTACCATAACCCCCTTCCACCTCATTGGAATGAATTTTAAATAAAATTTTAATATTTATATTAAAAATTCTTTATTAATGTTAATATTTTTATGAAATCAATTTTTTACTAATAAATGTTCATGTTTTAATCCAAGGGCATGGATTTAACATGATTTCTATGATTATAGAAAATTCAAAAAATATATTGTGCAGCTATATGTTTTCATTATAAAATGTATGATCAAATGACAATATAACAATATTTTGTATAGAAAAATGTACTACAGAAAGGCAAAATTCATTTAGAAAGTGAAAGAAGTATATGTATTCAAAAGGAAATGAAATGATGCAATTTTCTAAATGTTACAGAAGACCTATTTCATGTGATATATAAACAGATAAAGACATGTGTCAGAGAATCAGGATTTAAATTTCTTTGGCTATATTAAAAACACAAAGAAACTATTATTTAAAAAAGTAAATATTTACAATATGCTAGGAATTATGTAATTTATAGTTATTTGATCTTATGATAGAAATGTTTGGTCATAATATAAAACTGTATGATAGGTTACATAGCTTTCAAAATTATTTTGTAAGATAAATGAGCAAAAATTAGTAACCTCCAGCTGTAGGCTGTAATTGTCATAGTGAAATATTGTTCCAGGTTTGGAGAGTGCCCATCAGTACCAGAAATTGCTGCAAACAGAATTTGATGCATAATCAGTATGTAACCTATTTTCAGTCCCAGTCTATCTGCCTGAGTCTTCATTTATAAATGGTAGTAATAGCACCACCTTTGTTCTCAGGGTTGTTGTCAATAACAAATGAGACACTTTGTCTAATTTTTTTCATAAACATATAGTATAAGCTGCAGTTATTAATGTTGCTTAATTTTATGACAGCAATAACCAGTAACAGGGCTTTTCCTTCACCCTGTGTTTTGGAGACAAATCTGTTATGAACCTGCTTATGAGGAGATCAAAAGATCAAGTAGGAAATCCTGACAAATGCTCTTCTTCTCACTCATTAAATTGCCCCTAAGGGGAGACTTCAAAGGGAATGACTAGTGACTGTTTACTGACTGGCAATAGTTCAGGTCTTTGGAGATTTTTCTTTTACACAAAATCTTTCAAAGGGGACTTTTAAAGGTTACATTGAAATATGTCATTCCTACTCCTCAATCTTCATGCCTCTGACCTCAGAAGGACACTAATAATAGCTTTGTGAAGGGGAATTTGCTACTCACTAGAGATATTGGCAATAATTACTTGGTGGGAAAAGCTAATGATTTTCTCACTTACAGGAAGACTGGTGCTTCCACTAGTTGTTGTTCCTTTGGTAAATTGAAAGGCTTTTCTTATGATAATGTGGAGAATGAATGAACAGCACATTAAGGAGCTTTCTGAATAGGGAAATGTACTGACATTTCAGCATTATCTGAATTATGTGTTAAGAGTAGCTTAGTCAAATTAAAATGAATGGCAGGTCAAAGCAAAAATCACAAGCTCTTTCTTATTACTCAGAATATATATTAAGTGTTCTCTAATTCTAAGAGTCCAAAATATATTAGACAATTTAGTTTACAGGGACAGGTTAGTTTACAGGGACAAGTTATCATTATGGGGTTTGGGTAGGAGACCTGGAGAAATTTGAAGTTCTAACTCTCCATTCTAACCAAGCTTTGACAAGCCAACTCTTACCCTTCACTTTGCTACTTTATAGCCTTCCCATGTTTTGGTTAACTTTTTACATAGTACAGCTTTATAGTGGAAATGGCTTAAACTGGAGTTTCTGAGAATCTAATCCCCTTTCTACCTTTAATTTACTCCTTGACATGTGGTAAATCACCTTATTTCTCTGCTTCTCATTTATAAATTTCTGACGGTTGTGTTAGATCAATTCTTTTTTTAACAAGCTACACAAATAATGATCATGGTGTTACAGAAACCACTCCCTTGGGCTGGGCTTGAGACTCGGAAAAGCCCCAGCTTTCCTGATTTTATAAGAAGGAAACCTCTTTTATGAACAGAACACTAACTTTACTATTTTCACACTAACTTTACTATTTGCTTTTCCACTCCAGAAAGCTATTAATTGGTGACATGGAGATTATTATAAGGCTAACCTTGAATGTGCTTTAATTAATTTAAAAAATATATGTTTTGATTATGAAATGGTAGATGAAGGTGATAGACATCCAATGAGGAGAATAATGACCACAGAGAGAATGTGACCTTCCAAATGACATAGCATCTTTGCAAATCATCTTGTGAAAAAAAAAATCCTCAAAGTCAAAGGAAGCTGGGAAGTTCTTCTAGATGGCTAAGGGTTTGTTGAGCTGACACTGGATGAGTTAGAAGATGAAAGAAGCTAAAACTGAACCTTAGAAAGGAAAGAGTAATGTGAAAACCTCTGGCCCATCTTCAGAAAACTTGCAACATATACAACCTCTTTTGAAAACAGAAAGTCACAGGCCAATAGCTATATAAATTCCACATTAAAAGAAGGCTATGCAGATGAAAGTCTGATTGCCAAATGGAACAGAGAAGGTTATGCGGACCTGTGCTGCCTATGATATATTCAAGGTGCCAACTCTGGAACCCACTTCATTTGCTGGGCTTGAAGCTGCATGAGGGAGTGATCATCAAGGGTCTTCAGTGTGGCTGCAGGGGTAGCTCTGGCTGAGGCTGCTCTGAGCCCAATTCCCATCCTGCCCCAGACCTTGGACTTTAATGATGGCTGCTTTTTCACTTGCACCTGCCACCCCATTTCCTGGTAGGTTCTTCTCTGTATAGCAGGAACCTAAGTCAGAGTTAAAGCATAGTCTCTATAGTTGATGGCTTTGGTTTTCATCAAGTGCAATTATTTGTAATTTTAAAAAATAAATCCCTTAAACCTCAAAAAAAGTAATTTGGATACACTTGTACTTTGCTTGTAATATGTCCTCTAGAGTAAGACATGTTTCCGAACTCATTCTAAGAACTATACTGTTGGCTTCAACTTTTACCAACAGTCTCACCTAAACTTATTTCTTTTCCTATTATGTCTGAGGAAAAGGTTAACATCTACTTGTCAGACAAGTAGCAGTTTACAACAACTCCGGAGGAGGAAAAAAAATGCCTTAAATTGTCAGTTCCAAGAACCTCATTGGACTATACTTTTTCAAAGGATGGAGTCTTAGGAAGAATGTAAATAAGTCTGTATCTTCTTTTGCCCAAGAGCTTTCTAAAGAAAACTCAGCTTTAGGGTTTTGTTTCTCTTGTGTCTCTTTCCTTCTTTGGCAGAAATCCTTGGATAAAGATTCTGACATCCTTTTCTCTTTCTCTTGTGCTCTTCTTTGTTCCCTCTGGATTTTCCCCACAAAGCCTGGAGCCCAGAAGCTTTGGAAGCTGCCCCTTCTATTACAAAGTTGTGTGGCATAAAGCCTATATCATCTCTGCTCTAGGCATTTGTAAACTCTCTTATATTATTTTGCTTGTCTCTTCTCCCTGGCTACAGGTTCTGCTTGGACCACTTTTTCCTTTCATCAGAATTTTATGACAGAGCGGCTTAGAATTCAGGCATGAGTTTATAGAGACAGAAACAAAGGGGGTTCAATCTGTTTGGCTTCAAGGTTTCAGGCTCATCTTTAGCCAAGCAAAAAATATTACATAAGGACAAGTCCAGCCAAACAGGCTGCTGTGCTGAGCTTTTGAATCAAAGCCTCATAGTAATCAAATGACAGCACTTACCTGTGTTTTACCCAAGTCACATCTTTGCCCTTGCTGTGATTCTAGTTGTCAAGTTAGATAATAAATAACTTGAACATGATTTTAGACTATCGTGAACGAACTAGTAGAGGAAGAGAGGATACAAAATCAGAAAATAGAGGGAATGATAATGAAGCCAGGTCCCTTTATTTTTCTTGTCCATTAATTTTCCTTGAGGTGTAATGAAGAGAGTTAGTGTTAAGTGAACAGCCAAGAACATAATTGGGAGATTCAGAATTCAGTGCTCAAGTCTTTCCCTAAGCACATTTTATTCCCAACGCTGCGTGATATCAATTCTACTTTTGCTCCAGGTTTAATTCCATCCCACAAAGAGGAACTCAGTTTCATCAATATTTCCCATATTTTCTGATTCTTCATTCTCTTGTCCTCCACTAACTTCTTCCCTTCATCCTATAAACATGTTCAAATTACTCATTATCTTAAAATGGCAATGACAAGGATAAAGATGTGAGTTCAGTAATACTGGAACATGTATTCGGCTAAAGCGACTCGTGGACATGACAGTTCAGGCTGCATGGCAACTTGGGAAATCAACAGAAAGAAGTGAGGAATAAGTCATGGATATTCAGAAAACTGAATGTGTGAATTAATGGCATGCATTTGAATCTTCTTTGTAAGCAGAGCCAAGTGCATGCTGTTCATAGTGGTTTTGGAATTTTGGTATCCAAAACTACAGAGTCAGGATGGGCCCAAACTCCAGAGAGCTATGGGTGCTCTTGATGATGAGGTTTAGTTATGTGGGGGCTTGGTAGGAGCAGAAACCACAGTTATTCTGCAGTGGGAAGGTGTTGAGGAGCTTATGGAATATGAAGTGATCATTTAGGAGGTGGCAGCACTTGAAGTATTCTACGAATTCTCTGTGTAAACTCTGAAGTAGGAGAGGGAAACCAAAGCTTAGGGGACTTTAAATAGGCTCATCTAAAAGTAGGACCCAGCTAGGAGCCCCAGTCCAAGATCAAAATGTTAGGGCCAGCTCTGAAAGTAGAATATCTCCTAGAATATGGCTATAAATCTTTTTCTGAAGGAGAAATATGGCAAGGTAACTAGATTAGCCTTATTTAACACAACTGTACTAAAACAACTATTTACCTCACAGAATTTTGAATCAGTATACTAAAGGGTGAGACTTGAACATAATATGTGCATTGTTTTAATTTTTTTTTAAATTATATTACTTGACTTCAAATTTTACAAGGCTATAGTAACCTAAACAGCATAGTATTGGCATAAAAATACACACACAAATGAATGGAATAGTATAGAGAACCTGGAAATAAAGCCACATACCTAAAGTCAACTGACCTTCAACAAAGTTGACAAAGACAAAAACATATACTGGGGGAACAGACACCCTATAAATAGTGCTAGGGAAATTGGATAGTCATATGCAGAAGAATAAAACTGGGTCCCTATCACTCACCATATATAAGTACTAACTCATGATGGATTAAAGACTTAAATATAAGACTGGAAACTATTAAAAAATACTAGAATACATGCTTTGAAATGTGATTCATCACATAAACAGAACTAAAGATAAAAAAAATGATTACCTCAATAGATTCAGAAAAGGCTTTTGATAAAATTCAACATCCCTACATGTTAAAAACTCTCAATAAACTAGGTATTGAAAGAACATACCTCAAAATAGTAAGAGCCAACAATGACAAACTTACAGCCAACACCATACTGAATGGACAAAAGCTGGAAGCATTCCCCTTAAAAACTGGCACAAGACAAGTATGCCCTCTCTCACTACTTCTATTCAACATAATATTGGAAGTCCTGGCCAGAGCAATCAAGCAAGAGAAAGAAATAAAAGGCATCCCAATAAGAAGAGAGGAAGTCAAACTATCCCTGTTTGTAGACAACATGCTTCAATATCTAGAAAACCTCATAGTCTTGGACCAAACACTCTTTCAGCTGATAAACAACTTCAGTAAAGATTCAGGACAAAAAATTGATCTACTAAAATTATTAGCATTTTTATACGCCAACAACAGCCAACCTGAGAGCCAAATCAGGAACACAATCCCATTCACAATTGCCATAAAAAGAATAAAATACCTAGAAATAGAGCTAATCAAGGAGGTGAAAAATCACTATAATGAGAATTACGAAACATTGATCAAGGAAATAAGAGATCACAGAAACAAATTACAGAAATAGATTACAGAAACATGAAAAACATTCCATGCTTATGGATAGGTAGATTCAATATCATTAAAATAACCACATTGCCCAAAGCAACTTGCAGATTCAATGCTATGCCTATCAAACTACCAATGACATTCTTCACAGAACTAGAACTACTTTAAAATTCATATAGAACCAAAAAAGAACCCAAATAAGCAAGGCAATCCTAAGCAAAAAGAACAAAGCTGAGGGCATCACATTACCTGACTTCAAACTGTACTGTGGGGCTACAGTAACCAAAACAGCATGGTCCTGGTACAAAAACAGATACATAGACCAATGGAATAGAATAGACAGCCCAGAAATAAGGTCATATACCTACAACCATCTGATCTTTGACAAAGATGACAAAAACAAGCAATGGGAAAAGGACTCCCTATTCAATAAATGGTGCAGGGATAACTGGTTAGCCATATGAAAAAAATTCAAACTGAACCCCTTCCTTACACCAATACAAAAATCAAGTCAATATGGATTAAAGACTTCAATGTAAAACCCCAAACTTTAAAAACCCTGGAAGATGACCCAGGCAATACCATTCTGGATATAAGAACAGGAAAAAACTTCATGATGAAGAGGCTGAAAGCAATCGCAACAAAAGCAAAAACTGACAAGTGGGATCGAATTAAACTAAAGAGCTTCTGTACAGCAAAAGAAACTATCAACAAGAGTATACAGACAACCTACAGAACAGGAGAAAGTATTTGCAAACTATGCATCTGACGAAAGCCTAATATCCAACATCTATAAATAACTTAAGCAAATTTACAAAAAAAAAAAACTCCATTAAAAGTTGGGCATAGGACGTGAACAGACACTTTTCCAGAGAAGGCATTCATGTGGCCAAGAAACATGAAGAAAAGCTCAATATCACTGATCATTAGAGAAATGGAAATCAAAACCACTATGAGATACCATCTTACATCAATCAGGGTAGCTACTATTGAAAAGTCAAGAAATAACCGATGCTGCTGAGGTTGTGGGAAAATGGGAACACTTGCACACTGTTTATGGGAGTATAAATTAGTTCAATCATTGTGGAAAGCAGTGTGGCAATTCCTCAAAGACCTAAAACAAACAAACAAACAAAAGCAATCCCATTACTGGGTATATACCCAAAGAAATATAAATTGTTCTACAATAAAGACACATGCGTGTGAATGTTCATTGCAGCACTATTCACAATAGCAAAGACATGAAATCAAACTATATGCCTATCAATGATAGACTAGATAAAGAAAATGTGGTACATATACATCACGGAATACTATGCAGCCATAAAAAAGAATGAGATCATGTCTTTTGCAGGGACATGGATGGAGCAGGAGGCCATTATCCTTAGCAAACTAACCCAGAAACAGAAAATCAAATACTTCATGTTCTCACTTGTAACTGGGAGCTAAATGATGAGAACTCATGGGCACCAAGAAGGGAAAAACACATATGGGGGCCTACCTGAGGATAGAGGGTGGAAGGAGAGAAAGGATTAGGAAAAATAACTAATAGATACTAGGCTTAGTACCTGGGTGATGAAATCGTCTGTACAACAATTCCCCACAAAATGAATTTGCCTTAACTATGGGGTACTAAGCTTAGTACCTGGGTGATGAAATAATCTGTACAACAAAACCCCACAACATGAGTTTGCCTATATAACAAACCTGCACATGTACCCCTGAACCTAAAGTAACAGTTTAAATTTAAAAAAAAGATTCTCAATTAATAGCCTACGAACCAAAAAAAAGTCCAGGACCAGACAAATTCACAGCCAAATTCTACCAGAGGTACAAAGAGGAGCTGGTACCATTCCTTCTGAAACTATTCCAATCAAAAGAAAAAGAGGGAATTCTCCCTAACTCATTTTATGAGGCCAGCATCATCCTGATAGCAAAGCCTGGCAGAGACACAACAAAAAAAGAGAATTTCAGACCAATATCCCTGATGAACACTGATGCAAAAATCCTCATTAAAATACTGGCAAACCAAATCCAGCAGCACATCAAAAAGCTTATCCACCAAGATCAAGTTGGCTTCATCCCTGGGATGCAAGGCTGGTTCAACATACGCAAATCAATAAATGTAATCCATCACATAAACAGAACCAATGACAAAAACCACATGATTATCTCATAGATGCAGAAAAAGCCTTTGACAAAATTCAACAGCCCTTCATGCTAAAAACTCTCAATAAGTTAGGTATTGATGGAACATATCTCAAAATAACAAGAGCTATTTATGACAAACTCACAGCCAATATCATACTGAATGGGCAAAAACTGGAAGCATTCCCTTTGAAAACTGGCACAAGACAGGGATGCCCTGTCTCACCACTCCTATTCAACATAGTGTTGTAAGTTCTGGCCAGGGCAATCAGGCAAGAGAAAGAAACAAAGGGTATTCAATTAGGAAAAGAGGAAGTCAAATTGTCCCTGTTTGCAGATGACATGATTGTATCCTTTAGAAAACCCCATCGTCTCAGCCTGAAATCTCCTTAAGCTGATAAGCAACTTTAGCAAAGTCTCAGGATACAAAATCAATGTGCAAAAATCACAAGCATTCCTATATACCAATAACAGACAGAGAGCCAAATCATGAGAGAACTCCCATTCACAATTGCTACAAAGAGAATAGAATACCTAGGAATCCAACTTACAAGGGATGTGAAGGACCTCTTCAAGGAGAACTACAAACCACTGCTCAATGGAATAAAAGAGGACACAAACAAATGGAAGAACATTCCATGCTCGTGGATAGGAAGAATCAATATCGTGAAAATGGCCATACTGCCCAAGGTAATTTATAGATTCAATGCCATCCCCATCAAGCTACCAATGACTTTCTTCACAGAATTGGAAAAAACTACTTTAAAGTTCATATGGAACCAAAAAAGAGCCTGCATTGCCAAGACAATCCTAAGCAAAAAGAACAAAGCTGGAGGCATCACGCTACCTGACTTCAAACTATACTACAAGGCTATAGTAACCAAAACATCATGGTAGTGGTACCAAAGCAGATATATAGACCAATGGAACAGAACAGAGGCCTCAGAAATAACACAACACATTTACAACTATCTGATATTTGACAAACCTGACAAAAACAAGAAATGGGGAAAGGAATCCCTATTTAATAAATGGTGCTGGGAAAACTGGCTAGCCATGTATAGAAAGCTGAAACTGAATCCCTTCCTTACACCTTATACAAAAATCAATTCAAGATGGATTAAAGACTTAAACGTTAGACCTAAAACCATAAAAACCCTAGAAGAAAACCTAGGCAATACCATTCAGGACATAGGCATGGGCAAGGACTTCATGACTAAAACACAAAAAGCAATGGCCACAAAAGCCAAAATTGACAAATGGGATCTAATTAAACTAAAGAGTTTCTGCACAGCAAAAGAAACTACCATCAGAGTGAACAGGCAACCTACAGAATGGGAGAAAATTTTTGCAATCTACCCATCTGACAAAGGGCTAATATCCAGAATGTACAAAGAACTTACATTTACAAGAAAAAAATCTAACAACCCCATCAAAATGTGAACAAAGGATATGAACAGACACTTCTCAAAAGAAGACATTTATGCAGCCAACAGACACATGAAAATATGCTCATCATCACTGGTCAGAGAAATGCAAATCAAAACCACAATGAGATACCATCTCACACCAGTTAGAATGGCGATCATTAAAAAGCCAGGAAACAACAGATACTAGAGAGGATGTGGAGAAATAGGAATGCTTTTACACTGTTGGTGTAAATGGTTCAATCATTGTGGAAGACAGCATGGCTATTCCTCAAGGATCTAGAACTAGAAATACCATTTGACCCAGCCATCCCATTACTGGGTATATACCCAAAGGATTATATATCATGCTACTATAAAGACACATGCACACGTATGTTTATTGTGGCACTACTCACAATAGCAAAGACTTGGAACCAACCCAAATGTCCATCAATGATAGACTGGATTAAGAAAATGTGGCACATATACACCATGGAATACTATGCAGCCATAAGAAACGATGAGTTCATGTCCTTTGTAGGGGCATGGATGCACCTGGAAACCATCATTCTGAGCAAACTATCACAAGGACAGAAAACCAAACACCGCATGTTCTCACTCATAGGTGGGAAGTGAACAATGAGAAAACTTGGACACAGGGTGGGGAACATCACACACCGGGGCCTGGCGTGGGGTGGGGGGATGGGGGAGGGATAGCATTAGGAGAAATACCTAATGTAAATGACGAGTTAATGGGTGCAGCAAACCAACATGGCACATGTATACCTACGTAACAAATCTGCACATTGTGCACATGTACCCTAGAACTTAAAGTATAATTAAAAAAAAAAAAAAAAAGAAAGATTCACCTGAAGATCTTCATTTGTGTCTGGCTTGAATTCTGTTTGGCGATTGTGAGCACCCTGCAGTATCTTCAAAGGAAAGAAGGAAGTTTGAGTCCGAAGTTTATAGTTTGCATACCCCCTTGGATGAATGGAATTCAGTCATGTTGCCAGAAAGTACTGAGTTTAATCTAAAATATTTGTCTCACATAGCTATTTAGTAAGGAGGTAAATCGAGACAAATCAAAACAACAACTAGAAGAACAAAGACAATGAAATGGGAGGGACTTCAACGTTTCTGCTTGAACAATGACATGGCAGAGAAGGTGAAATATTTGGTTTTGGATCTTGCTTGAGAAAATACAATAAGAATAATAACCCTGTAAATACTCTGCCTTGCAGACGCTTGGGAGTTCAGTCAGAGAGTTCTCAAAGTTCTTCCAGATACCCACAAACAAAGGTATTGGCCTACTGCAGACACCAAAGCCTTGTCATTTCTACATGTGACAGCAGGATGGCAAGTTTGGTGGGTGGAGGTGCTTTCAAGGCAGTGGGATTTCAGAACCTACTGGTGACTGGTCTTTTGAGAATTAGGGTGCTTTTGGCAGAGTAGTTAAAAACAACAACTCAAAGCCCTGGAAAAGACAGGGTTTATTACATTTGGCATTGGTTTAGCTTTCCAGTGGATGCCCGTCTTCTGTTCTTCTGTGTCTGGGATATTAAATACTATCAGAGAAAAATCCTTCTGCTAGCCTGATTGATGCCTTTACAAATGCATGGATTTTAAAGTTGGTTAGACCCCTTGACAATCTGTTAATTCATCTCTAATTGTCTTTCATTTCTCTTTCTCACAACACTCTATCAGAATAATTTCCCCTATGAAATTCAATGTGTTTTGAAAACACCATTTCATAAAGGACATTTTTATTTTTCTATTCTATCATGCGGTTGTGTTTACATGTATTTAAACATTCTATTATTGTTATGTATGAAGGTTGTTTCCAGCTTTAAGCTGTTATGAATAGTGTTTCCATGGATATTTTTGTACTAAATCTTTAACAAATCTCCTATTATTTCCTTACAATAGATTCCTACGTGTAGAATTACTAAGTAAAAGAGTATAATATTTAAATATGTGAATCTACATATGTATACATATGACATAAATAACAATGTTTATTATAGAAAAACATATTAATATGGACAAGCAAATATCCATAATTCTTAGACTTAAAGATTCATGCAGTTAATATTTTGCCATATAATCTTTTAGAAATGTTTTATGCATACATTGTCATAAAGTCTTTGAAGGGCCCATTATACTTCTTGCCAAATTGCTGCCCAGAGGAACATGTAAATATATACTCCTACTTGCCATATATGATTACCTTGATTATCATAATTTAAAAAATCAATATGTTGGGAAATAATATCTCATTGTTATTTAATTAGAATTTATATAATCTAATAAGGTTGATTAACATTTTTCACATTGACACTTTTGTTTTTTTGTGAATTAATTTACTATTTATTTATCTTCCTTTATTCCTTCCTTGGAGGGTACAGTTGTTTAAAAATATAAAAAAATTCAAAGAAGAAAATGACAGTCACTCAAATACTCATCACACAGAATTAACCACTGCTTTTATTTTGGCAAAATTGCTCTCAGTATTTTAAATGTTTGTAAGTTGGTTCATTTATACAAGTAATATAGGAAAACATTCTATCCTATCCCTTTTAATAAAAAAGAACATTGTACATCAAGCTAGAGTGTCCCAACTTTGATCCTTCCATTTTTATTTATACTTCTTCTGCAAATTAAAAACTAACATGAGTTTGAGAAGGAAACTTCTAAAAATTATACATACATACCCACATATGGATACAAATGCATCTACAAAAAGTATATAGTCTTGTGTCTGCATTGTTCTTCAAATCTTTACTTCTTCAGTCAACATGTTTTTGAAATTCCATATTGATAATATTGAGCCCCTTCATTCCTATCTGGATTCATAGTGTCTGTACATACAGATTTGTTTATCCTTTCTCTTATTGTTGGACACCGAGTATATTGAGTTTGCACAATTATTTTAAAAGGAGTTTCAGTTCTAGTACAAAGGGCTAATACCCAGAATCTACAAAGAACTCAAATAAATTTACAAGAAAAAAACAAACAACCCCATCAAAAAGTGGGTGAAGGATATGAACAGACACTTCTCAAAAGAAGAGACACACGAAAAAATGCTCATCATCACAGCATCTACTTTTTACACCTATGGGAACTTGGAATTGGAGGGCACTGTCAGTGTCCCGAACCTCTGTGGCTGCCCATCTAAGCCACCTCTCCTTTATGTTTGTTCCCTGGTACCTGTAGCATGGTATCTCTGGTGACTCACCAAAAATCTAAGCAGAGATAAAATGTCAGTCTCTTTTTCTTGTTTAGATATCTCTGAACTATTCCTAGGGTATATTAGTCTGTTCTCATGCTGCTAATAAAGACATACCCAAGACTGGGTAATTTATAAAGGGAGGTTTTTTTAATTGACTCACACAGTTCCACATGGCTGGGGAGGCCTCACAATCATAGTGGAAGGTGAATGAGGAGCAAAGTGACGTCTTACATGACGGCAGGCAAGAGAGAAATGCAGAATGAAAGAGGGTGAAACTCCCCTTATAAAACCATCAGATCTCATAAGCACTCACTCACTATCACAAGAAGAACATGGAGGTAACAGCGCCTATGATCCAGTTACCTCCCACTGAGTCCCTTCCATGAAACATGGGGATTACGGGAACTACAGTTCAAGTTGAGATTTGGGTGGGGACACAGCCAAACCATATCACAGGAGTTCTCCTGGCCCTTACTTTCCTGGCTGTGGGAATTGGAAGAACCTCTCCCAGAAACTTTTATCTTCCTCCCAGTTCTGCTCCCTGGGGTAGGAATGGAGGAGGGTGGTGGTCATGTGTTAGTTCTACTGAAATGTTGCCTGTGGGCAGGCTCCAGGGGAAAGGGTTGTCCCCCTATATGGGACAGTTTTCTGTACTTAAAGAATGTGAGGCCCTTAATGCCTTTGTTCCTAGCTGTATATTATAGTTAGTTCTAGAAAAAAGGAAAAAATCTCATTTTGTACCTTGTATCATCTTTTTACAATTGTTTCTAAGTTTTTATTGTTCCACACAATGCTGTTCTGAATATACTATGCCAACCTTCTTGTACACACGAGTATTTATAATGAAGATATCTAGAAGAGGATCTGCTGAGTCATAAGGTGTGCACATTTTCTGTTTTAATAGATACTGCCAAATTGCCTTCCAAAGTGACTCTACCAATTCACACTCTCATAACACGGCAAGAAATTACTTCCCCTAAACCTTATCATTTTTGACATTAAAGGCTTTTTATCTTATGTGTGAAAAATAGTATCTCACTTTTAATTTGCTTTTTCCCGATTTTTATGTAACAATGAGTACTTTTTCATTGGCTCCTTCTTTTTTTCTCCTCTTGCGATGTTTATCTTTTTACATATGTGTATGAGATCTTTTTAGAGAATGTCAATGCTTTGTCATAGTATATTTCACTACCATTTTCCCCACCAATTATTAGTAGTTCTTTAGTCAGAATGACCTTTCTAAAACTTAAATCTAATACAACACACCTCTGCTTACAATTTGATGTTTCCAATTTTCCTGAAGATAAAATTTAAACTCTTTAACAAACTCCTTTAGGATATATCTTCTATATACTTGTTCAGCTCATCAATTATCATTGCCTGCCTTATACTGTATGTGTTCCACGCATACTGAACTATCTATGGTGATATGGTTTGGCTGTGTCCCCACTGAAATCTCAACTTGTATTTTATCTCCCAGAATTCCCATGTGTTGTGGGAGGAACCCAGGGGGAGATAATTGAATCATGAGGGCCAGTCTTTCCCCATGTTATTCTTGTGACAGTGAATAAGTCTCATGAGATCTGATGGGTTTATCAGGGGTTTCTGCTTTTGCTTCTTCCTCATTTTCTCTTGCCGCCACCATGTAAGAAATGCCTGTCACCTCCTGCCATGATTCTGAGGCCTTCCCCAGCCATGTGGAACTGCAAGTCCAATTAAACCTCTCTTCCTTCCCAGTCTCAGGTATGTCTTTATCAGCAGCATGAAAATGGACTAATACAGTAAATTGGTGCTGGGAGTGGGATGTTGCTGAAAAGATACCCAAAAATGTGGAAGTGACTTTGGAACTGGGTAACAGGCAGTGATTGGAACAGTTTGGAGGGCTCAGAAGACAGGAACATGTTGAAAAGTTTGTAACTTCCTAGAGACTTGTTGAATGGCTTTGATGAAAATACTGATAGAGACATGAACAAAGTTCAGGCTGAGGTGGTCTCAGATGGAGATGAAGAACTTGTTGGGAACTTGAACAAAGGTGACTCTTGTTATGTTTTAGCAAAGAGACTGGTGGCATTTTGCCCCTGCCCTGGAGATATGTGCAACTTTGAACTTCAGGGAGATGATTTAGGGTATTTGGCAGAAAAGACTTCTGAACAGCAAAGCATTCAAGAGGCAACTTGGGTGCTGTTAAAAACATTCCGTTTTAAAAGGGAAACAGAGGATAAGAGTTTGGAAAATTTGCAGACTGACAATGTGATAGAAAACAAAAAAAAAAAACATATTTTCTGTGGAGAAACTCTAGCTGGCTGCAGGAATTTGCATAAGTAGCAAGGAGCCTAATGTTAATCCCCAAGACCATATGGAAAATGTCTCTAGACCATGTCAGAGACCTTCATGGCAGCCCCTCCCGTCACAGGTCTGGAGGCCTAGGAGGAAAAAGTGGTTTTGTGGGCCAGGCCCAGGGTCCCCCTGCTGTGTGCAGCCTAGCGACTTGGTGCCCTGTGTCCCAACTCCTCCAGCTGTGGCTGAAAAAGGCCAGTGTACAGCTTGGGCTGTGGCTGCAGAGGGTGGAAGCCCTAAGCCTTGGCAGCTTCCACGTGGTATTGAGCCTGTGGGTGCACAGATGTCAAGAATTGAGGTTTTGGAACCTCTGCCAAGATTTCAGAAGATGTATGGAAATGCCTGGATGGATGCCGAGGCAAAAGTTTGCTGCAGAGGCGGTGCCCTCATGGAGAACCTCTGCTAGGGCAGTGAGGAAAGGAAATGTGGGGTCAGAGCCCCCTCACAGAATCCCTACTGGGGCACTGCCTACTGGAGCTGTGAGATGAGGGCCACAGTCCTCCAGAACCCCGAACGGTGGATCCACTGACAGCTTGCACTGTGCGTCTTGAAAAGCTGTGGACACTCAATGCCAGCCCATGAAAGCAGCCGGGAGTGAGACTGTGCCCTGCAAAGCTACAGGGGTGGAGACGCCCAAGACCATGGGAACCTACCTGTTGCATCAGTGTGACCTGGATGTGAGACCTGGAGTCAAAGGAGATCATTTTGGAGCTTTAAAATTAATTGCCCCACTGGATTTCAGACTTGCATGGTCCCTGTATCCCCTTAGTTTTGGCCAATTTCTCCCATTTGGAACTGTTGTATTTATCCAATACCTGTAACCCCATTGTATCTAGGAAGTAACTAGTTTGCTTTTGATTTTACAGGCTCATAGGTGGAAGGGACTTGCCTTGTCTCAGATGAGCCTTTGGACTATGGAATTTGAGTTAATGCTGAAATGAGTTAAGACTTTGGAGGACTGTTGGCAAGGCACGATTGGTTTTGAAATGTGAGGACATGAGATTTGGAGGGGTCAGGGTTGGAATCATATGGTTTGGCTGTGTCCCCACCAAAATCTCAACTTGACTTGTTTCTCCCAGAATTCCCATGAGTTGTGGGACGGACCTGGGGTGGGGGTAATTGAATCATGGGGGCCAGTTTTTCCCATGCTATTCTCATCATAGTGAATAAATCTCATGAGATCTGATGGGTTTATCAGGGGTTTCTGCTTTTGCTTCTTACTCATTTTCTCTTGCCACCACCATGTAAGAAGTGCCTTTCACCTCCTGCCATGATTCTGAGGCCTTCCCCAGCCATGTGGAACTGCAAGTCCAATTAAACCTCTTTTCCTTCCCAGTCTCGGGAATGTCTTTATCAGCAGTGTGAAAACTGGCTAATCAATATTCTATCCCTTCTCATGCCTCCCTACGTTGACACATATTTCACCTGTTGTCTCTGAAATGGCCCTTTACCCCTTTGACTTCTATTCTTTTTTGAAGACTATACTCATGCACCATCTTCTCTAGGGACTCTTCTCTGTGTGAGCAGAATATCTTCCACATAAGCATTTAATAATTTGTATCTGACAATTGCATGATCTCTTTTTAGGCAGGACTTATAGTTTAATAATTAATAATTCTTGATTTTCTGATATTTAGCATAGTGCCTTGCACATTGTATAATCTAATAGAAAATATTCAAATGAATGAATGAAGCTAAGACATAGAAATCATATTCAGCAAGTCATTAACTATCTGAAGGAAAATACACATTTATTTGAAGTAGTTGAGGAAATAATGTAATTATGCCTTAAAAAGTAAAATTAGTAATTGGGCAATCTGAGGGAACAGATTAAAAATTGAGACATAGGTTATGCAAGGATTAGTGATTCAAGAAAGGAATTGGTTAATGAGATGGTGCTTTACAGTGGAATTTTCTCCTAGTATGTAAGCAAACAGGTATCAAAAACCAAAGGGAACATGATGATTTTTAGTGGAGGATTCAAAAAAAAAGGTAGCTGAAAACTGGTTAGGCAGTTTAAGGCAATTACACTTCTTATCCACATTAAGCAGATATAAATGGGCTAAAGATGAGAATGAAAGCAGAAGTTGTAAAGGGGATTTTGAGGAAGGCCACTGAAGTACATTGAGTTCTCCTACTCATCTCAAGGGAAAAGGGAATTTATGGCTGCTTTTTACCCTGAGCCTATGAGAAGGATTTCACTGGGGCCACTCAGAGTTGATGTACACACTAGTGTCTAATTTCTGCCTGAGAATAGAGTAAGACATAGTCTGAGTAGCTGCAGACAAAAGAGGCCTAGGCATGGCTACACTAGGAGGACTGTGCACCCAACATTCACTAGGGGGAAAGGAAGCATGACCATTTCTCATGGACCAGTGATAGACCAGGTATAAGATAGAGCTGTGTATGAGCCAGAGGGTTGCCTGAAGAGGCAAAGCAATATCTGCAGAGATAAACCAAAGAGCCTGATTTTCAGCACCTGAGAATGGAGCGAGTGACCAAACTCACTAGAACAGAGATCAGAGGAACTGCAGGTGAACACTCCTGAGCATGGCTCCAGGTTCTGTGGGAGCATCAAAGGAAGCATCACTCTAAACATTCGCCAGGTCCAGAAAAAGCCATTATTGATGTAAGGACTTTCCTTAACCTTTTTTTCCTCTTTATTTCTCATGTTTCAACCCAGAGTGGCCAGAAACTAACAAAATGCAGCTAAAAGGTGGAACAATGGTGAGTAAGGAGAAAAGAAGCCACCTATACCTTCTTCCTTCACTACAGGCTTCTTTTAACAATAGTTCAGAGCTGGCAGGGAGGTGTGGGGGAGTGGAGAGGCAGCAGATGCCTTACTTTTGAGGCTGTTTGGAGTACTGAACATATGTAGAATGGGACATATCAATTCTTAAATTGAAAGTAAATTAAGTATACATGTGCCATGCTGGTGTGCTGCACCCATGAACTCGTCATTTAACATTAGGTATACCTCATGTACACATATGTAACTAACCTGCATGTTGTGCACATGTTCCCTAAAATTTAAAGTATAATAATAAAAAAAAAAGAGCTTATTTCGAAGCACTCTTGTGAGATGTAAGTGTAAAGTCACACAGTTCCTGACAAAGTAAATGTTTGCTGTTATTAAGCAGGAGTGAGGGAGCAGACAAATACAATAAATAATTATAATCTAGTAGGATTAACAAAAAAAAGAAAGTAAATTAAGAATTATCATGCATATAAAAGAGTGAGCCTGAATTTTCTATAGGAACAGAAAAAGGCAGAGCCTCACTAAACAAATGGGTAGGGATGGTGACAGATAAAATAAAATGGCTTTCTGATTTTGTTCCATGAATCATGATTGTTCAGTGTGCTGACTACATTTCACTCAGAGCCTGGTGAATACTTGCAGTGAAGTGGCAGCTACTTCAGGGCTCTATGCCAGGGTAAACTATTTTAATAATTTATGTGTTAAATCAGTTCTATTATATTTTACAGACGTGTAGATTCCACTTGAGCGTTTCCCTAGATATCAATGCTTGGATTCCTCATTTTTTGCCTCTGTCTTCTGGACCTCTTTGGCCCAGTTTAGTAAGTGAGGAGGTGCACATATAATGAGGCTCACTCAGATAAGCTGGGATAGATTTAAATACTATTCATTCTGGCCTCCTGGATAGAATCAATACTATTGATCAGAGTGGCTGAGTTGGCCAGACAGCTGCTACCCCAAGAAAAGGATCTCATCAGTCTGCTGCTGAAAACTCTCAGAAGAAATGGAAACTTTTGCAGAGGATTTTAGAGAATTCTCTGTGCAGTCAGGTAAGCAAATTTATAGAAGTGAGGTATGGATGTTTGCTCTGTTTTTAGCATTGACTCTGATATTAGGGATATTGTGTGTTCCATTAATTATAAGAGTAACACTTATTTCCAAAAGAAAGGAACGTTGCTCTTTATTTATAGGCCAGTGTGTTAGTCAGAGTTTGAGTGGAAGCAGAATAATTATGAGAATTATGGTATAAGACATTTATTATTGGAGATAGACCTTATATACTTGAGAGAGGACCTGGATAATTAAAAGTCTGAAAAAAAAAGTTAAGATCAGAATGACACATCAGTAACCAGCCCAGGGGTGGATGAATGAGTTGGAGCTTGCAGGGAAATCTGGATGGTAGGCATGTCTGGAAAGGGAATGCCAATGGAAGACTGGTGGTTCTTCAAGGCTATTAATTCTGTGAGTTTGGAGCAAGGCATCTGGTAATGGGCCTGGGGTGCTATTAGTCAACATGACCAGCAGTTGGGAAGAAAAACTGGATACAGAGTGAGAAAGAGCCTGGGCTAACTAGAATCTTCTGGGACCTTTGTATCTCTCACCATCTCTGACTTCACAGAATGGTGGCTGCTGCTTCTGTCTCATAAAGCTTAATTTTTAGCAAACTCCTATCCAGAATTATATAGAAAAGAAAAGTTTGGGAAATGTAGTTCTCAGCATAACCATGTTGATAAGAGAACAATCTAGTACAGTGGATAGGCATACATACACACCTCATCAAATAGGCATACATACACACTTTTTAACCTATATTTAACTTTCATGTAAAGACAATAACAAAATGAGGATTCTGTCTAACATGATATAGCTATTTTTTGTAAGACTTCAAGCACACTTATATTCTCCCCCAAAGAAGATACATAGAGTCTCAATTTAACCATATTTTGAGTGATATTTATTCCTCTTTTAGCTGAGTTACATTCTCCCTTGGTATCCTGTTATTTAAATAGTGAGTTATAAAGTTGACTTATGGAATGTAAAAAGAAAGGAAAAATGAAAAATGAGGGAAAACAAAAGAATCAGTTAATATCCATATACAAATATACTCACATCACAATGAGAGAAGTACTCTTCATAGCACAGTTCATTTTTCTGAAGCTGTTCACATGATCATAGGTGGCAGTTATAACTTCTTTCTTCCAACACCTGTACCATATTCCCTTTACCTTCAGCAAGCACTTCAGCTAGTCATGTTTTCTTGTCCATGAAGATGACCAAAACCTTTATTTTTACATGGAGTTCTTGTAGTTTTCCATTAAATTTGACCACAGGACATGGGACAATTAACAGATGCACCAGAGGAGCTCCTGCATTCTAGACATGATTTCCCCCCACTTCCATTGTCTAGAAGCAATGTAATTTCTTTTTGATAGTTGGGATCAGTCACCTCAACACTACAGCAGCCCTATCTTTGCTCATTGTTTTGCTGGCTCAGGGAGACCAAAATTACCAGGCAGCCTTAATGACATAATTACTATGCCACCTGCTGGAAGTCTCCTACTTCCATTAGGAATTAAGACTTGAAAACCTGCAGAACCCATGAAGTTATGAATTTGGGGAAACATTTTGCTAGGTGATCATTAGGAGCACTAGGGTTTAGCTACTCTCATTTCCACCTACCGAATCCCTCATCTGTAAATACCGGCTAAGGAAAAATAGGACCATATGGTTGCAAAGGAAAATAGCATCATGGTCACAGATAAAGAGTATTTACAACATCTTGAAGGTGATCAACCCAGCCCTGCAAGGTGTTAACTAGCACACTAAGTCTTCAAAACCCCATTCTAAAATTTGACTGTTTCAGGGCTAGGGAAATTTACACCAGTAAATTTCATAAATACAAGGCACTTTGTTTCCCAAAAATGAGTTTCTTGGTTCACAAGCAATGTTATGTGATATCATCCATAAAATGGACCAGTGTAAGGAAAGGAGAGGCAATGTTCGATGCTGTAGACAAGATTATGCTGTAGGGATTACGAGTTTATATAACCCTGAGCTAGTGCAGTGAACAAGGCTGACCTTGCCAACTGAAAGGAAATTAATTTTAGTGGTCAATGCTATTAAATTTTAAGTATCATTCACCAGAACAATAGCTGGGTACCAGGTACTGGGAATATGTTTACCTACTCGAATAGCTGCAATTGTGTCTATCACCAAGTTAAGTTTACAGTAATTCTCTGTTAATTTTTAAAAATCCATCTGTCTTCTGCACAGGTCAGATAGGCAAGTGGAATTGACATGTTGTCTGGATTACCACTCCATTTTATATCACCTTTACAGTGGCAATGATATTTCTAATTTCTCCAAGAGTATGATTGCATTGGTTTACTATTTTGGTAAACAGAGTCCATTCTAATGGCTTCTGTGTGACTTTTCCTATAATAATAGACTTCACCTTATATGTCTGGAAACCAGTGTGGAGACTGCCAGTTTCTGAGCTACCAACTTTTCACTATGGAATAGAGAAGATAAACATAGGTTGGGGGTGGAGATCCATAGCACTGATTGTGAAATAGACATAGGTCAAAACTTCATAACCATATGACCCCCATATGCCCCTACTCTGACTGATAGAGCACACACAGTGATATTTTTGGTCTTCAGAAATAACTGTCATTTCAGAGCTAATGTCTAATAATTCCTGAAACGTCTGGATATTCCCTCTTCTATTCAAATCATCCTGACAAATGGTTAATCATCATACTAAGGAAGACTAGGAGAAAGATTTGAAGTATAAATTTTGGCAGTGTAGTAGGATTCTTTCTTAAGGGGCCCTGGCTTCCTGTTCATTCAACTAAGTCTGGATCAGCAAACTGGCTCAAGTTTGGGAACCAGTTGGGGCTGCAAATCTATTTTGACAAGGAAAGACACATTTCTCTTTGACCTAGAGCTTTTCTCACTGATAAAAGCTAGATTCTGATTTGCTGCCGTTTTACTTTAGTCCCAAGGATAACATAATCAATTAGCCAAGACCAAAGATCTCAGTGGTTTCAATTATTATGAAAAACACTGCTTTGTCTCTGATCATTATAGAAGGAACTATTCTGCAGAATTCCGCTTCTTAAATAGTTTTGTGTTTGTGTTCTCTAGAAATATTTTGCATGAAATTTGGAAGGCAGACTAGAGGGAGCAGCCATAGTAGTGTATGTTTAGAAGGCCAGTCTTGGGGCACCATGTGCTGTAGCAGCTCATGCACGCTCTTGCTGACCTTTCAATTCATGTTCATGATAGTTCCTCCAGTTCAGGCTTGAGCTCCTCCTTTTCATCTCTGATATGTGGCTTTGCATGTACATCTTCTGGGGCAGCAGCTAAAAGTGATGTTCCTTCCGCTTCTTCTTGATCTTTTCCTTTAGCTTCCCTATCTTGTGGTCTAGGCCCTACAAGAGATGCAGAAGCAACAACTAAACCTAAACTAATTCAGTAGCTTCTCTAAGCACATAAGGTCAAGATCCTATAAGAAATCTCAGATTCTATATTGTACCTAGTGGTTCTATTTTTGTGATGGAACTTTAACCGATATATTCACATTATTTCTAGTACAGAAGTGCTTATACTTTACTTCTGCCATTGTAAAATCACATCATTCCTTCTGAATTTGGAGAGTCCAGATCAATGTCAGCAGCCCCTAGTATCATTCCCGCCCTGCAGAGAATAGTCACCAAAGAGCTGTTCAAGTGTGTGTGGGGGCTCTCTTTCTAATGTGTTTCTCAAAGCCCTGGTGAAGGGAGAGTCCCAAGACTCTCCTGGACAGCAGAGTTAGGAGAGTTAGGGTATAGTTCAGTGAGAGTTACATAATGAATTTATGTGCATAATTCTGATATTTCTAAGACTTGGATACCTTTCTTTACATATAAAAAAGTCAGTCCCAGCATTTCAACAATATTCATTGTAGGCTATGTCTGGATCTAAGTTTTAGTTCACCTTTCAGGCATACTATTACTGCTACTCTAGGCCATTCAAGCAAGCACACTAAATCTGGAGATTTTGCTACATGCACTTATATCAATGCATTTAGCTTGATTCAAACAATTATTCATTCTACCCTGATCCAGCATGCTTAGGATTCATTTCCATAGTATTTGATAGTTTTTAATTCAATATAAACTGGGAGAAACTTGCATTTATTTAGGTGTGTCTGAAACATTCTCATGGGTCATGTTTTGCATTTTACCCCATGCTTCCTGCCAGGACTTTAATCCAGTTATAAATTTGGAAGCAGTGAATGGTGGGAGTGGGTCCTACACGGGATCGGCAGTCCCTTGTAGGTAACTATCTCAGGGGAATCTAATGCATATTCTTTAGCTATCAGGAGACTAATCTACTCAGACAAGGGGGCAAAGTCTGCTTCTACTGGAAAAGAAGGCTCTGCAGAGTGTTCATGGTGTGATGTTTTCAGCTTCATTAGAATGTACCCATTAAAGGTCTTCATCAAAAGTCTCAAGATCTTTTCCTTCCCCAGTCAACGGCTCAATCCCCTATCATAAGAAGCCGTATGAGGTTATAGATTCAATCTGAATTGTACTTTAGCCACACACAGGATTAGACTTCTGGTCTGATTTTCAAAAATCTTGTCCCAGTGGTTACAGGAGATTTCTTTTTAGGATAAGCATACAAGCTTTATGATTTTTTTGTACTGGACCTTTCAATGAGAATTTAAAGCCAAAGATCATCAGTTTCTTTCTCTAAGTTCTCTTATAAACTTACAATTGACCAACTAATGTCAAAATGCCTTTTTTAACTAAAAATTTTTATAGCAGCAACCATTTGGTCACCCAAAAAATTGCCTTATATGGATGCCTGCATACAGATGTCCATGGATGTATAAATAGTTTTGTCACTGAATGCCTTGGACCAGTAATATGCTCTTTAACAGTAGTGACAAGGTCACTAACGTTCTTAAGTCTAATTAGGTCATAAAACCAATTCTAGATTCCCATTCTAAAGATTCTGTTCCCTCTCTATGTCCATATGTTCTCATCATTTAGCTCCCACTTATAAGTGGGAACATGTGGTATATGGTTTTTTATTCCTGTTTTGTTGGCTAAGGATGATGGCCTCCAGCTCCATTCATGTCCCTGAAAAGGACATGATTTCATTCTTTTTTATGGCTAGATAGTATTTCATGATGAATATGTACCATGTTTTCTTTATCCAATCTCTTATTAATGGGTATTTAAGTTGATTCCATGTCTTTGCTGTTGTGAGTAGTGTTGCAGTTAACATATGAATACATGGGTCTTTATAATAGAGTGATTTATATTTCTTTTTTTTATTTTATTATTATTATACTTTAAGTTTTAGGGTACATGTGCACAATGTGCAGGTTAGTTACATATGTATACATGTGCCATATTTCTTTGGGTATATACCCAGTAATGGGATTGCTGGTGAAGGGTGGGAGGAGGGAGGAGAAGAGCAGGAAAAATAACTCATGAGTACTAGGCTCAATACCTGGGTGATAAAATAATCTGTACAACAAACCCCCATGACACAAGTTTACCTATGTAACATACCTGAACATGTACTCTTGAAGTTAAAATAAAAGTTTTAAAAAATGAAAATATAATAAAAGATTCTGTTGTCCTAGTACCACTTCTGGTACCAATAACTGTATCAGTCAAGGTTCATTCATGGAAGCCGGAGCATGATGACTATTATAAAATGAGAAGTTTATTCAAGTAATTAGACATTAAACAATTGTGGAAGGAGCTGGAAAGCTGGAACTTTCGGGGAAATGTTGAAGCTGGCATATCTGATTGTTAGAGTAAGATCTTTAAGACAGACTGGTAAAGAAGTTTGTAAATGTTATTTGTTCTTCCCGGCTACTGCCTCTATGAATTTGCAACAAGGCATCTGATAGTGGGCCTGAGATTTCTTTTAGTGAGCAGATATATTCATTTTCCATTTTGACATTACCATTTACCTTAAATTTAGCAGTTTAAAACAGCACATATTATCTCATAGTTTCCATGGGTCAGGGGTCTGTGCACATGTTAGCCCACTCCTCTCCTTAGGGTAATAAAAGGCTATGATCAAGGTGTCAGCCAGGCCCAGGGGTGTCTTCTGAGGCTTGTGGTCTTTTTTAAGTTCATGTAATTCTTGGCAGAATTGATTTCATTGTCCTTGTAGAACTAATGGAGACTGTGTCTCCAGGGCCAGTAAGAAGTGAACCTCTTGACACTGCCTTTTAAATGCTCCTATGATTATGTCAGACTCACTTCAGAGAAGCTTCCTTTTGATTAATTCAAAGTCAACTGATTAGGAGCCTAAAGGTGGGAGTGATATTCTATCATATTCACAGCTTCCACCCACACTCAAGAGGAGTGCATTTTTCAAGAAGAGTATACCTTGCAGCAAAAACCTTGAATCTGTCTTAGAATTATGCTTACCACTGTAGAAATAGCAGTTGAGACGAGAGCTTGATGTGTAGTAGAGAAGAACCTAGCCAAACTGAAATCTGCCAACACGCTGTGTCTTTCTCTCATTACTTTTAAACAACGATACACTTCAGAGCATAATAATGAGTGTAATAATGACTGTCGCTTTACTTTTTCCTCCCAGAAATCACTCCTCCCAGAAATCATTCAACTCTGTCTGTCCCTAAGCCAGAACCTTACAGGGAAGGGTTCTGGGAAATGCAGTTCGCAGTGTAACCAAGTTGTCAACAGAACAACGAAGCATTGTCAGGGTGGAGAAAATTTATTAAATTGTGCTGAGCAGGAACACTTACTTCCCAAAGAATCTGTTGTATGTAATAAAATATTATTATTGTTTTTATATGAGGAGGTTTCCTTCCTGTACTGTTCATAGAGCCAACCCACATGAACTAGCTCTTAGTGAAATGAAACCAGCCATTCTCTATTTGTTTCAGGTATAAAGAATGATGTTTTCCACTCTCACTTTTATGATACAGCTAGAGAGAAATGAATGTCTTTCTAAAATAGAACTTCAATAAAATCAGTTTTCTATTTTATGCTGTTTAAATGAACATTTGATAGCAAGAGAAGGTGACTTTATTTGTAATGTTAAATATCTGCCTTTGTCTTCATAGTATTTTTTTTTTTTAAATCTCAGGTGACTTTATTTCTGTCGTGCTTATCATGTCTAAGCAAGAGAAAGTTGCATTTATGCCATTATTTTGGAGAAAAGGGGTTTTGAGTAAATGAAGCAAGCTATAAAATCAGCACAAATTAGAAAATGCCACAATATCCAATTACTTCCAAAGAAATTAGTCTGTATTTGGGAACAAAATAAACTAGCACTTAGAGAGAAATGTGAGAAACTGGACAAAGGGTGGAAGAACAGATGCAAGACTCATGATTTTGTCACAAATTTCCTGTGAGACTTCCTTTAAGTCGCTTCACCTCTCTGAACCTTACATTTCTCATCTGCATTGCCAGGGCTGAGGACAGTGCCTGCTACATTGTCTCTGCTCAAGACCTGTTGAATCATTCAATCACCCAATCAGCAGCTTAATAAATCTATAGAAGGCTTAGAGTTATCTTTCTGCCAGCTTTGATACTCTGTGATTCTGTTACTTCCTCACTCTGAGTTTATAGTTAGATTTTTATTGACCATGGTGATTACTTCAGGACTTGAACAAAAGGCAGGACTTCTCGATGGAGCTGTCAGCTCAATGCTACTTCATCCCCTAGAATGCCTTACATCTTGACAGCTCATGTAGACTGTCAATCTGCAGATACCAGATCAATTCTAAGCCTGTGGGGTAAATGACAATTTGAGTAAGCTCCCACTGCTTGCTTTTTCTACTCCTATCTGAGGTAGTTACACAAAGTATAATCATAAAACCACGTCATCTCTGTCTCTTATAGATTGATCTCACCTAGGTCCTCTTAGCTGATTGTCATGCTATTCTCTTGTGAGTCTACTCATCTTCCTTACAGCAGCTCTTCCAGATATTCTACTCCAATGTCTATGCCTATCCACCACTCACATGCTATTAAAATGACCTGCCCTTTTCTCTTGTACACTAAAATAAAATCCTAAGTCCCCCACTGACTTGGCCAAAGGGACCCCAGAAAAATCTTGAAACTGAGTTACTGGCCATGATGGGAAGGGAGATCAGATATGCCTCATTATACCCCCTTCCTTTTGTGGTTTAGACACAACAACTGACCAGTATTAATGTTAAAGTAGAGATCATAAGACTGAAATAACAGAATCTTTGCAGCAATAAAATATAAAATTATGAACACGGGCTGGGCACGGTGGCTGAAACCCGTAATCCCAACACTTTGGGAGGCCAAGGTGGGTGGATCACCTGAGGTCAGGAGTTCGAGACCAGCCTGGCCAACATGGAGAAACCCCGTCTCTACTAAAAATACAAAAATTAGCCGGGTGTGGTGGCAGGCACCTGTAATCCCAGCTACTTGGCAAGCTGAGGCAGGAGAATTGCTTGAACCCGGGAGGCGGAGATTGCAGTGAACAGAGATCGCCCCATTGTACTCCAGCCTGGGTGACTGAGCAAGACTCCGTCTGAAAAAAAAAAAAAATTATGAACAGGCTCTGAGGCCATGCCAGACAAGGGTTAAGTCATGCACCCCTATAGTTAAATAACGTGTTCTGATTTCCATAAGGTTTTTCTTTTTCTCTGGTAGCTAAACAAGCACTGGCCTTGAAATAAGCAGTCTTAAAACAATTACAACTCTAGCTCACAGACGCTAACTGAACCTGTTTTACCAGCCATAACTGTAGCTGTTATTGGACAAGAGACTGATTTCAGTGACTTCCTTCCAGATAAGAAGACTAGAGGCTGGGCGTGGTGGCTCACACCTATAATCCCAGCATTTTGGGAGGCCGAGGTGAGCAGATCACCTGAGGTCAGGAGTTCGAGACCAGCCTGACCAACATAGAGAAACCCTATCTCTACTAAAAATATGAAATTAGCTGTGCATGCTGGCACATGCCTATAATCCCAGCTACTCTGGAGGCTGAGGCAGGAGAATTGCTTGAACCCGGGAGGCGGAGGTTGCGATGAGCTGAGATCACATCATTGCACTCTTGCCTGGGCAACAAGAGCAAAACTCGGTCTGAAAAAAAAAAAAAAAAAAAAAAAAAAAAAGCCAAAGGCCAAGGTCTGATTGTAGTGGTTTATAGAGGTCATGCACTTGTGTGCTTCCTTGTCCTGAAAAGACCTTTGGACATATAAGGCCTAATTGTAATACATTTAAATGTTAAGTCTCCACCCAAAGTAAACATAGGCCATATGTTACATGCATGCTTGTTTTATATGCATGTGTTAGGACCACCTTAATGAATATTTATAGCTCCTCCTATAACCTGTTGAATATGTATGTTTAGCCAACCCACTTAACATAAAGTTCCTACCCCATCCCCTCCTACTTCAAAGTACCTGTCTCTGGTCTTGGCCAGAGACATACTTTCAAGTCTGCAGGATAGTCACCTTGCAGGCAGTAATGCCTTATAAGAAATGAAGTCTTCTTCTCCTTTAAAAATATATAGATTTTTTTAAGTTAGTACACTTCATCTCTTACTTCTTTTCCTCATCATCCTGATTAAATTCACCCTCATATCTCACAAAAAAATGGCTTACTCCCTCCTACTTTTCCTTTCTGCTTATCTCCATTGCTTTCTCAGCTTCAAATATCACATTGATACAATGATCTCCAAATCTGAGTCCCACATACAGACTTACTTCCTAGTTTTGAACCCCACATTCCTAGGTATCTTCTAGATATTTGTCCTGAAGATTCTGCCATGTCCTCAAAATCAATATGCTTTAAACTGAAATAATCAGTTTTTCTCTTGTTCTTCCACTCATGCAAGTGAATGATTATGCTTCCCATTACTCAGGATTGAAAATTTGGTATTCGTCATGATTCCCCCTTTTCCCTGTTCTTTCATTTCAAAATTTTGTCAAGCTCTGTTACTTCTGGTTTAATTCAAGCTGGTTCAGTGGCAAGGCACTCTGGGACCACCATATTGTTGAATATGGAAGAGGAGAGGAAGGTGTAACAGTAGAAACTGTATTGGAGTATCTGCCCAGCTGTAGAGGGCTGGCTTCATTGGAAGGGGTCCTATGGATACTATGGCCCTTTATGAGTTACTACTATTGGATGTGGTGGACTCAGGCATATTGAGACCAATGTTAATATCCAGATTCTCTAACCAGAAGGCAGGAGAACTGAAAAGGCATAAACCATATTTGAAATCAAGTGTGTGGCAGTAGGAGTACAATTCCAGAACTCCATTTTTGAGGGACTGGTGTAGCTACTTAGAGCCCAGGGCTCCACTGACACAGGTTTACCTTGTTAATCCTCCTAAAGCACACTTCCATCATTTCATTTGCCTGGTCAAAAATTATCAGAGGCACCACAGTTTTGACTAAATTGTATGCAAACCATTTTGAAGCTTTCAAAGTTCTCATTATGCCAGTACCAACATCCCCTTTCTGGTTAGCTGTTCGTGCTTTGTAAATCGAAACTTGGGTTATGATCTCAAACCTACTTCAGCAAATAGATGCAATAAGAAAAATAAAGAAAGTTTAGGTGATAGAGAATGAGATGGGTTGGAGTGTGTAGTCAGGGAAGGCAACTCTGATAAGGTATCATTTAACAGGAAACTTGAAAGAAGCAAAGAGCAAGTCACCAAGATATCTAACAGAAATGCTATTAACGGCAGAGGCAATACCAATGCAAATGCTCCCAGGCAGAAGCATGCTTGGGGTGCTCCAGGGTCACTGGGGAGGCCAAACAGGCTGAAGTGCAGTGCATAAGGAAAAGCAGGACAAGGTTACGTAGGGCCTTTCGTGTGTGGTAGCCAAAAGCCCGTTATTTGCAACAGTCCTGGTTTATGTCTATTTTCCAAACAAATTAATAGCACCTTTTTATCCTGGTGTAGTGACACATGCCTGTAATCCCAGCTACTCTGGAGGCTGAGGCCAAAAGACCCCTTGAGCCCGGGAGGTCATTACTGCAGTGAGCAATGATCAAACCTCTGCATTCCAGCTTGGTTGACAGAATAAGACCCTGCCTTATAAGATAATAATAACAATAATAATAGTCTCTTTTTCATGCCCCAATGTATCCTGGTTTGTGTAATAAATTATTTGGCCTATTAGAGGCCACCAGATAATTCACCAGACAGTTTCTCTAGGTCTAATTATTACAGGATGAGAGGGTTTTTAATTACAATCTCAATTGCTTTAATAAATATAAGATTGTTTATATTTTCTATTTCTCAATTTTTCAGTAATACAAAATTTTGTTTCTCTAGTTTATCTAAATTGTTAACTTCATTGGTGTAAAGTGGTGTCCATAAAATCTACATGATACCTTCTTTTCCATTCTTGATTTAATAATTTCTGTTTTATTTTTTTCATTAGTTTTGGCAGGAGATTTTCACATTTATTCATCCATTCATAGCAACAGCTTTTAACTTTGTTGATTTTCTTTATTCAACATTTTTTTCTTACATTATTTCTGTTATTCTTACTTTCCTCTACTTTGTATGGGTTATATTTTCTCAGAGTTTTTTCTTAACTTCTGGATAGTTAAGTCACCAATTTTCATTTTTTCTAAGATATGCATTTAAGTTTTGACATTTTCTTCTATAGGCACTCTAAATTTCATCCTGCAAATGTTGTATGGTGTATTTTCACTATCATTTAGTTTAAAGCACTTTCAAAATTACATTGTGATATTTTCTTTGACCTTGGAGTTATTTAGACATGCATTGCTCAAGTTACTAAAACTTGAATACTTTCTAGTTATTTTTCATTTTAGCTTAATTTTGATGTGATCAGAACATATAGTTTTAATAATTTCAATACTTTAAATTTCTTTGACGTTTACTTTTTGACTTATTATATGTTAATTTTGATAAATACTCCATGTATGCTTGAAGATAATGTATCCTCTTATTGTGGGGTACACTCTTGTACAAACGTCAATTAAGTCAATTTTGTTATTTGTATTTTCTATGTCTTTCAAATATTGTTATTCTTTTATCCAGGTCTCCTATCAGTTACTGACAAAAGCCTGTAAACTCTGTCTTCAGTTAGATTCCCTAGATCCCAAGTCTGAGATGGGGATTCTTGGGAAGGTGATGTGTTGAGAATGAGGGAAGTGGTGTATGGTAAGTGCAAGAAGCCAAGCAAGGGCGTGATATAAGCAGGAGACTGCCTTCTGCCTGATCCCATGAGGAGATCAAGAGCATGAATTGCAACACAAAGTAGGCACTACTTTGAGGCAAAACACCAGCCCACTGGGTGTGGGCTGCTGCAGGGGTTGGGAGTCTAGTTTCCCAGGTAACTAACCATCCTTTGGGCTAACGACACTCTATAGAAGGGGCACATAGAACAGCCAGCATGCATAGTAGCTAGAGAATGCGTTTAACAACCTGGTAAAGAGAGTCTGGGTGGTTCATCAATAAACCCCAATAAATCTAGGGGCCCTCTCTGGTTATGGACTTGCCTGTATCTCCTTTTAGTGAACTCAATGTTTATATTATATTTTTTGAAAGCATGTTATTAGTACATACAAATGTAGAATTGTTCTATTTTCCAAATAATTATTTTATCATTAAGAAATGCCTTTGCTATGCTTTTTTTCTTAAATATATATTGTCTGATATATTAGTAAAGCCATTGAGGATTTATTTCTGTTAGTGACTTGATGGAATCACTTTTCCATTGTTTTACTTCCAGCCATTCTATATTGTGACTTTTAAATTATGTTTATTATAGGCTGCATATACTTGGGTTTTACTATCTAGTCTGAAAATCTTTTTCTCTTAATTGAAATAAGTGTGTACTTAAATATTTTATTGAGTGAGATTCACAACATAAAATTTACCATTTTAAAGTGTACAATTAAATGCATTTAATACATTCACAAAGTTGTACAGCTGTCACTACAATTTAGTCTCCATTTTCGTCACCCTCAGAGAAAACCCCATAAGCATTAAGCACTTGTTCCCCATTTTTCTATCCCCAGAAACACTGGCAACCACGAAATCTTCTTTATATATTTATGAATTTATCAATTCTGGATATTTTATATAAATGAAATAATACATGACCTTTTGTCTCGGACATTTTTGCTTCACATCACATTATCAAGATTCATCTATAATGTGGCATGTGTCAGTACTCCATTCCTTTTTATGTCTTAATAATATTCCACTGTATAGATATACCACAGTATCCACTCATTAGCTGATAGACATTTGTATTGTTTTGGCTGTTGTGAATTGGGTTGCCTTTTGGCCGTTCTGAGTAGTGCTGCTATGAACATTGATGTACAAGTATTTGTTTGAATACCTGTTTTCAATTATTTGGTGTGTATACCTAGGAGTGAACTTGCTGGATGATGGTAATTCTGTTTAACTTTTTGAGGAACTGCCAAACAGTTTTTCTACAACAGCTGCACGGTTTTACATTCTCACCAGTAGTGTATGAGTATTCCAGTTTTTTCACATTCTCACCCCCCACTATTATTTTCCACTTTTTTTTGGTCATTGCCACTTGGTGAGACATTTACTTTCAACATAAGTGCTAATATATTTGGCTTTATGTTTACTCTCTTACTATTTTTTAAAATTTTTCTTACATGTATAATGTTTCATTTTATCTCATCTCCTGGCTTTTCTTGGATGAAATATTTTATTGCTTTATTTCTTCTTGTTATTTATACATCTCACTGCTATTTATACTAAATAATTTACTATTAATTTGTGCTTCTCTGAGATGTTACAGCAATCACTTTTGACTTATTATAATTTAATACAAGTGAATAAATTTTCTAGGACCTTAGAGCACTTTAACTCTTTCTACCTTCCTTTTGCCTTTTTGTTATTGTCGTCATGCATTTTAATTCTACAAATATTTGTAGTGTTATTCTTTAAGATGGTAATATCTGTCTGGATTTACTTAGATATTAACCCTTTCTATCATTCTGTAATCCACGCTTCATGTTCATATTTCCATCTGGGCTTAATTTTCTTACCGCTTTAGTATTTCTTCTTATGCTTGAATATACTCCCCTTAGTATTTCTCTTAGAGTGAGTATAGTGGCTACAAATTATCTCAGTTTCTGTTTTTCTGGAAATGTCTTTATTTCACTATTACTTTTGAAGGACATTTTTACTGATTATAGGATAAACTGACAGTCATATTTTAAATATTTAAAGTCTGTCATTTTGTTCTGTCCTGGCTTACATGTTTCTGTGAGAAATCAGTGGTAAATCTTACTATTGATCCTTTAAAGTATTATATCTTTTATTTTATGTGGTTTGCTTTTATTAATTTGGTCTTTATATCTTAGTATTTTTACTCTGTTATAACTAGGAATTACTTATTTGTATTTATCTTGCTTGTTACTTATAGCTACCCTTGTATTCAATATATTAATGTCTTCTCATCAGTTTTTGAAGACTTTTGGTCATTATATTTAAATATAATGCATTTAAATATAATGCATTTAAATATAATGCATTTGCTATCTCATCCCATTCTGGAACTGCTCTGTTTCATAAACTTATTATACTCTCTTTTTGGTATTTTCTATTCTGTTTGGTCCCTGTTCTTCAGCATGAATATTTCCTTCTGATCTATCTCTTACTTCACTAAATGTCTCTTTCACTATATTCAATCTGTAGTAAAATCCATCCATTCAATTCTTAATTAATTCTAGTTAATTTATTTTTTATTTTGAGAGTTTCAATTTGATTATATTTATAGAGCCCAGTTCTCTGTGTAATACTACTTCTTGTCATCTATTTTATTGTTGATATTAATCACAATTTTAAAATCTCTGATAATTCCATCCATAGGTCTGTTTCTAATGTGTGTTTTTTTCTTTTTTTCCTCTTCTTTGGTATGCTATTCATTTTTGACTGAAAAAAAAAAAAATAAAACCCTATCTATCTATAGTTTGCTCCTGCCTAGGATGTGTCTCTCTAGGACCCTAAAATGATGGCCTCTGGTATTTTTAAGGGCTCTTATTTCTTGGAAGGTCTAATACCTCATTTGTCTCTGCTAAGCTCTTTGAGGTTGCTTAAAATTTTGCTTTACTTTTAAGCAGCTTTCTGCTTAACTTCTTAACTTTTATCCCTAAATAGCTTAAGAAATAGGTAAATAGGTTAAGTGGAAAAGAACTGTTAGCCTTTTTTCCTTAGTCCTTTTTTTTTTTTTTTTTTTCTGTCTAGGGTACTAGCCCATCAGGTCCTGGCTGTCTTTGAAAATCCAGACTCCAATTCCCATCTTCACATCCCTATCTTATAGCTAAAAATTCTGCTGACTTCTCTATTTAAGAAGGACATTGATATGGCCACAAATAGGCAAATATCCCAAGAAGAAAATTAGTATGCAGACTGTTAGCCCACCTCTGTGTGACTTTCCTCCTTCAAAAATCTTAACTTCTCAAGTCCTTATTACCTTGGCATGTCCTTATCACATTCAGCTCTGTGTGTGTGTGTGTGTGTTGATTTGTTTGTAATTTTTATCTCAACTTTCTAGTTTATTTTGATGAGAGCCTCAGTCTGCTACACAATCCTCCATTATAGCAGCAAATTGGTATATCTGAGTATATTTCAAAAATAAAGCTGGTAATATGGGTTGACAGAATAGATGTGGGGTATGGAAGATAGTGTATTATCAAAAATAATTTCTAATTAATTGTCCAGAGCTACTAATCAGAATAATAATGTTTATATTAACTGAAGTGAGAATGATTGTTACTGTTCATTTTTCATAGCCCAAATCAATGTCAGCCTGCTAAATGATCTCAGGATACCTCTGATTATAATAGTATCTCTGCCCACATTTTGTTTTTTTCTTTACAGTACTTGGTAGTGGTTACCTCATGCTGTTTTTGAATGGGAGCTCGTGTATTATAGTTTTTTTTCCCTAGATTCTCATCTACTACATGAATGACTTGAATAACTTATTTATCATCTCTGAAGTTCCCCCACGTGAAAATGGGCAAAATAATATTAACTATTCACAGTGTTGTTGTAAAGTTTGAGTGGGACAATTCATACTGAAGTATCTGATAAAATTCCTGAGAAGCAACAATAAATAAACATGTAATAGCTACAAAGCATAATGATTATCATTATAATCTGCTTTATCTTCCAATTTAGAATATAATATTCTGAGGACTCTTTTTCCATATTAAACAGCCATGTATTTGGGTTGACTCTCTGCTCATAACCAGCCAAACTCACCCAATAGTTGTATTCCTGCTGCGTCATTGAGCATTGAGGCAGTCAGTCGTTCAGTATCCCCCTTTTCCTCCACCAAGTACTTGTTCCCAGTACGTTTTCCCTTTCTCCTCCTCCTCCTCCTCTTCTTTTCTTCTTCCTCTTCTTAGTCTTTCTTTTTTTTTTTTTTTTTTGAGATGGAGTCTCGCTCTGTCACCCAGGTTGGAGTGCAGTGGTGCAATCTCAGTTCACTGCAACCTCCACCTCTCGGGTTCAAGTGATTCCTCTGCCTCAGCCTCCTCAGTAGCTGGGACTACAGGTGTGCGCAACCACACCAGCGAATTTTCTGTATTTTAGTGAGACGGGGTTTCATTATGTTGGCCAGGATGGTCTCGATCTCCTGACCTCATGATTCGCCCACTTCAGCTCTTCTTTCTCTTTCTCTTTCCTCCTTCCCCATCTCCTCCTCCTCCTCCTGCCCATCCTCTTCTTCTTCTTCCTCTTCCTCTTTCATCTTCCATCTTCCTCTTTCGTCTTCCTCTTTCTTTCTTCCTTCTTCTTCTTCCCCATGTTATTCCTGTGTCAGGCCTTCCATCAGATCACATATCAGACCTTGATTCCCATTCTGCATACTTGGGTTTGCCCCCAAAATTTTCTCTCCCCTATATTAGGTTCTCAGTTCTTTCATATGAATTTTCAACACTCACTTCTCCAGAATCTAATTTTCATTCTAAAACTTGTTCATCACTGTCTTTCTTCTTAAGCCTGTGTTTGGATATGTGTGTGAGTGGGAATGTGTGGGAGTGTGTGTGTGTGTGTGTGTGTGTGTGTGTGTGCATGCATACTGGTGTGAGTTTTTGGGGTGAGGGGTGAAGGAGGAGATTTTTCACTATCCTACATGGGTTCTTGCAGATTTAAATTTTTAATAAATATAGGTCAAATGAATAAATAAGAGCTATTAGCAAGAAATGATAGGCTGTGATATATTTGGACCAGAGCATTTTATAGTCATTTTCAGTATATATAGTTCTGTGAGTTTAATGTATCTATACTGGACTTTTCTTGTTAAAATAAAATAAATAAATATAATATGTATATTATATTTATTTATAATTAAATATAAGTACATATTACATTATATATAAATGTGTATACACACACACACACACACACAGCCTGATAGTGGAGAAATCATGTGGCTCACTGTTTCCAATATAAAGCAAGTAATTCTGGGCCTTCTGTTCCTACTTTTTCAGGTCTGTTTCTCTGTGGTCTAGTGTTTTAAAAGTTACTATGTTGATTCCTAGAGCCTTGAAATAAAATGCAATTTTGTGTCCTTTGGAGAAGCAGCATAAAATACTTTGTGACATAAAACACAGGAAAATTTCCCCCAAATACTCTTCAAGTATTTCCGTTCCCACTTGTCTTCTCGAGAGTCACTTATTCCAAATCCTGTTCCCATCTCTCTCATTGCTCCTCATGTCTGCTAGCACTCATCAAACTCTGTCCACTCTTTCTACACTGCCTTTCTTGTGTAAATAAATGCAGCCCTGGCTTCTCCCAATCAATTAGCTTCATTCTTTGTCTTAATTAGTGTCAATAAATGGACGTGGGACCTAGTGATTTCAAAAGGCTCCAGACAGTCTTTAGAAAAGACTATGGAAGAAATGGGGAGGCAAAGTGAGAATATTTTAATATTATTCTAGAATATTTTAATATTTTAGTATCATTAGTATTTGGGAAGCACTTCTAGCACTTTTATAATTGCATAAAGCTGATATGCATGGTTTGGAAAACCCACTGAGTACTATTTTGACCCAAGGGCAAATCACTGAATACTACTGTATATAAAAAAATTACAAAGGCTCACACTTAGATATACATAAAGTCTAAATTAATCTTACATATTTATAAAATTAGACAATATTAATGACACATTTGTATAACGTTCTTTGATGAACATGGGAATAGTAACACCAACCTGATAGAATAAAGTTATAAGATTATATGAGGAAATTAATTCTTCTAACAAACTTTTATAGAGCATTTACTGTGTGCTTACTATCTGAAGATATAAAGATGACTTGGTTATAGCCCTCAAGTAACTTGTAGAATATATGGCAATCAAAAAACAGTACAATGTATTAAGGATTATGATTGCATATAAAAGATATAGAAATAATATAAGGTGATTAACTCTCATGGAGGTTTGGGGATGTTCTAGTGTAGACTTCATGCAAGTGATTACCTGTATCTGGGAGTTTGACATGTAGACAAAGGATGGAGAGGAAATCCAAGCAGAAGACACAGAAAATACAGAATTAAATAGAGAGAAACAGCTTGTTTTATTTGGGGACCAGCAAGTGGGTGATATTTTGAGAACTTCAGGTGATACAAGCTGAGCTGGAGGAAATTAAGGAGAATGAGGCAGAAGCCAGAACATAAAGGTTGTCTTTGCAACTGAAAGGAATTTTGGCTTCATTACCTACTCAATGGAGAGCTACAGGAAAGCGTCCTGGTCATTAGAAGTGATAAGATAAGGTTTATATTTTTATAATTATTCCAAGGCCATTTTAATGGATTGCTTGGGTGAAGTCAATGAAATAAGTTACAAAGTCATTGTAATAATTCAGAAAAGACAAGTGTGAGAGACATACAATGCCTGATATATAGTAGGTGCATGATCAATGATGGCTTCTTTCCTCATTTGACAATTCTCTAGGTTAGTGATGGCAGGTGTCATTGTTGCCATTTTACAACTTGAGTAATTTAGTTGCTAGTTTAAGTGACTTTTTCTTCGGGACTCAAATAGTAAATGGCAGGGCCAGAGCTACTAATTTTACGCTTCTGTTTTCAGGGGGTGTTTCAGTGTCTGAGAACTTTGAGGATACAAATGAAAATATCAAGGTTTTAAGTATATAGAATATACATTTTCTGTAAATGACTTTATTTTATTTTATTTTATTATTATTATACTTTAAGTTTTAGGGTACATGTGCACAATGTGCAGGTTAGTTACATATGCATACATGTGCCATGCTGGTGTGCTGCACCCATTAACTCATCATTTAGCATTAGGTATATCTCCTAATGCTATCCCTCCCCCCTCCCCCCACCCCACAACAGTCCCCAGAGTGTGATGTTCCCCTTCCTGTGTCCATGTGTTCTCATTGTTCAATTCCCACCTATGAGTGAGAATATGTGGTGTTTGGTTTTTTGTTCTTGTGATAGTTTACTGAGAATGATGATTTTGTAAATGACTTTCAAAAGCCTGAGTATGAATGAGATTCTTAAGTCCTGTCTGTTCAGTCATTTAACAAATACTTTTGGAAAGTTATTATAATCAGGGAGCTGGGGACACAGTGAAGAAATGGACAAAGATCTTAGTCTATCTGAGCTTAAATTCTGGTAGGTGAGTGTTTTTAGAGCCCCCAACTAAATTGGGGTTCCAGTACCAGAGCAGCTAGAAAACCTGCTCTAATGGGAAATGATAGGAAGACAGAGGTGGCCGTTTACAGTGTGCCTTTCATGGAATACACCTTCTACCTGGCATTAATGCCTGCTTGTCTCACCTGTGATCAGGGGCCCCTCACATAGAAACTTCTTTATACTGGCAAACATCCTTGTGGCTCTTGTCTGACCCATGCCCAGTTTGTACTTGCCTATCAGTCTGGCACTGGGAGCCTGACCTTGTGTTCTCTCCAGCATTTAAGGGGACACCTGGCTTAAGGCAGCCCCTGGTTCTTCTGATGGAAGGTGCAAAATTAATACCAACACTATATAAAATACATTCAAGGGTTTATTACTTACAGACCTTGGACAGGGAGGGTGCAACGAGTCAAATGGAAAGAGCAGTCCTCCATCCCTGAGTCATGTGAAGCAGAAATAAAGAGGCATAGAGACATAAAGACAGACAGAAAGAGACAGAGAGAGAGAAAGAGAGAGAGAAGGGAGGCGGGCAGGTGGGGTAGGGCAGAAAGAAAGGGAACAAGGCAACTAGCAGTATATATATATAAGGGAATAGTGTGTTAGTGTGTGGGTTGCTTTACGTTCACAGTCAATGCCTGAGTTGTTTGTTCAAAGGAAGCAGCCAAAAAAAAAAAAAACAAAAAACAAAAGAGGGAGCTCAGTGTCTTAGGCAGGAGAGACGCCTCCAAGTTCTTATGTCTTTGTTCATTGGCTTGAGCCTTTTGGGTGTAGTGTCCTCCTTTGAGTGTCTAGGCAGCACCTTTTGCTTTGGCATTTCCAGTTCAGTGAGTGAGATGCTCAAGAAGCAAATGGATACACTAATCATATAATTACCAAAAATTTTAAAAAAGATAAATCTATGCAACAAATTGTAAGATGATTAGGGGAAATAAATGATGAAAACCCTATTTGATAAGGTGTTCAGGAAAGACCTGTCTGAAGAAGTGACATTTCGAATGATCGAAGGAGCACAACTCATGAAGATATAGAAAAAGGTCATCTCAGGAAGGCAAAAGGACCATCAAAGATGAAGGATTATCAAAGATAATGACCCTGGGATGAACTATTTTATATAAGTTAAGGATCAGCAAGATGGTCAATGTGGGTGCTGCTGAATCAATAAGATGATACCTGAGAAAGAAGGAGAACACAATAAAGAGTTTGTACTTTAAGTTATTTTTTCCCTTTCCCCGAGCAAATGGATGAAGAGTGATGCTATCTACTGAAAAAACTTGGGTGAAGCTTCAGGGCAAAATCAACACGTAAGGTTGAGATACCTATTGGAAACCTAAGTAGAGATACTGAACCACTTGAATAGATTAGTGGCAACTCAGGGAAGAGGGCAATGACAGCAATACAAATGCAGAAGGAATCAGCAAACAAAATGTATTTAAAGCTATGAAATCAGGTAAAATTATTTTGTGAATGAGTATATGTAGAAACGAGGGAAAGGACTGGGGTCTGATAAAGTTTACATTTAGGGAAGAGGAGGAGTTCCTAGCAAGTAAAACTGAGAAGCAGCTAATGAGGAAGGAGAGACACCAAAAGAAAGGAATTTCCCAGAAACCGAGTGACTAAAGGGTTTAAGAAAGAAGAAATAACCAACTGTGTCAAATGTTTCCAAGAGGTCAAATAAGATGAGGACTGAACATTGACCAACGGATTTGAGAAGATGAGGGTAATATTAGTTACCTTGACATGTGGCTTTTGCAGAGTGATGGAGATGAAGGCCAAATGGAAGTGGGTTACTAGAAAAAGGGAAGTACAGAAGTGAACAGCATGATGGCACATATCCTGTCCAGGAGTTTACTATACAGGGCATCTGCGAAGTAGAACTGTAGCTAGAGGGGGTCATAGGGTACTAGAGGAGAGATTTAGAAATGAGAGTTATTACAGACTACTCATGTGATAATGAGAACAATGCAGTAGAGAGACAAAATGATGTGCCAAAGAGTGTGGGCAAGGAATGTCCTACAGGATAAACTCATGCTGACCCAAGAAGTGACTTAAGCCTGTGAGCAAACTCAGTGAGGAGAAAACCAGCACCACTAATATTTATTGCAAGCATTCCACTATTTATTGCAAGCATTGAACTATCATGTGCAAGCATTCCATTAAGCTCTTCCCTTTGTAACACTTACAGCACAACTCCATAGTATAGGTATTATTATTTCTTCCAATTTATAGGTGAAGGAAGTGTATCTGGGAGGGTTCCAATAACTTGCCCAAAGTAACAACAATAATAAATGGTAGAACTTAATTTCAAACCTGAGTCTGTCAGCTTGTGCATTTAATTACTCTCCTGTGTAGGAGCCAGAATTTCTGTCCAGCTCAGTGTGGAATACTTCTATGCAATCAGAAATTATATTTCCTACTCCTTGCTGCTGCCTAAAATTTTTATTAAAAAGATCAATGCCTTAGTAATAGTCTCATATCTCACAGTTTCGGTTAACACTAACATCAGAGTTTCAAGATGCCTAGAAACTCAACCTAAAAGTTACTATTTCATATAAATTTTCCTGAGGACAGGTTATTTGAGCATGCACCATGCAGTAGACATTTTATCATTTTGCCTGCACTTCCTCAATTTAATTAAAAAATTCTAATGAGCTATATTGAACTAAACACTGAGCTAGTTGGTGGGCATATGTAAATATAGAAGATGAAGTTTCTGCCCCCAGATGTTTCAAGCAGGAGGCATATTCTGGGTGGATAGTGTCTTCTCTACGGTAATTCTCTCAACAGAATTGAGTTGGGATCTTTTAGGTCCCCACATGATTTATTACCAGCACAAATATAAGCAAAGTCTTAGATTTAGGGAACAGAGAGAAAGGAGATAGACAGCCAATCTGTCAGAAAACTTTTTTTTTCAAAAAGAAAGATGATTGTTTGATTTTCTATCCATCCCAAAAAGAATGTGGGGAAGTTTGTAAAGATACAGAATATGAGTTAACATCATTAAGGACACAAATTAAAGAAAAGAAAAATAAGATAACATCAGGTCAAGGGTAGGGACTGAATACCTCCCATGAGTTGACAAGATTTAGCCAGAGGTGGGGAAAGAATCCACATATAAATACAGTGCAGATGCTCTCTAACTGGATGGAAATGGAATAATTATGTTAATTTGTCCCTTTTTATACTCAGAGATGGCTTTTAATTCTTTTCAAGGATTCAGAATTAGAATATGTCCACATTATTTGGCCCTTGCCTCAATCTCTCCTTTCAGGACAAAACAACCCTCTAGTGTGACCTTCACGCAGTATAGATTACTCTCCTGAAGATCAGGTTAGCAGGTTGTCTTGCTTTTACACCATTCACATGTGCCCACCTGGCTGTTGGGCAGATGTTCTCCTGTAGGGTACAAAAATCTCCCAACATTAAGTTTTAATTGCATCTCCATAATTGTTGTTTAAATGTTGGCATTCATTTTATGAGCTGATTTTTCTATGCTAATCAGTGCTCAATTCAAATCAGAACAAACAAACAATCACAACAACAAGAAAAACAAGACCTCTTCTATATTTATAGCTGGTGACTAAAATAGTACCATAAATCCTGACTGTGACTGACTAATTGCTTGAAATCTAACACAGGACCAACAGAGACTCTCTCTCTCTTTGCACAGCTTTCATTGCTTAAACAAAAGCTACTCTGATTTGTTTGGGAATCAATTTGATTTGAGAAGGCACTGGGGCTCTGTCAGTAAGCAACGAACAAAGTACAATTTCCTTTTAATGGAATTGGGATTATGCTTTGAGGACATTGCTTTTTCCCTTCTTAAGGGAATCGGGAGAATGAAGTTGGGAACTCTTTGCCAGTGGCAAAACATAGGAGCCAGTTGATCAGAACCTCTGGTGCTTTTTTTCAAACTGCTTGGGCAATAGAAATGAGAGAAAGATTCCCAGTTCTCAAGAATGTGATTAATGAAAGCATTAGAGAGATCATTTAATGGCATGGAGTGGGTTTGAAAATTTGGTGTCAAATGGTTTGGTTCTGATATAGATTTAGCACGGATATGGATCTAACCAAAACTGTTATGTGATTTTGTTTAACCCCAGGTGTGTTCCAAATCTTAAATTATTTTTGCAGTAAAAACTTGATATAAGTAATTCATTTTCTATAGGGTCATTTTAGGGATTAAGTGGGAAAATATGTTTTAAAATTTTGTAGATGATTAAGAGCTAAATAACAAGAAAACATTGTATCTTAAAATATTGTTTTTGGTTGATACATTCTAGAATCTTCTGAACTCTCTACTCCAATTTTTGATAGAAATAGGTGGGTATCTGAATTCTATGGTTTAGAACAAATAGAAATTTCTGCTATTTTTGGCTTCAGGTTTATTACTCAATAAATTATGGATTTGCTATGGTCTTAAAGTTAGAAAAATTTAATCAGTGTAAAACACCAATTCCAAAGACAGTTATTTTCAAGCTCTTTTCCCATTTGGTTGACAGGAACCCAATTCTTGAAGAGGTTTTTCATTTCAGCATCAGGTCCTCTAATAATTAAAGTGATGCTTTTGCAGCAGATCTTCCTTCACACCCAAGTACATTACCGGATTTTAGCACCAATCAAATAATGAGTCAAAAGAATATTAGATGTATTTCTGATTGTCCTAGTATGGGTTACAATTTGTTATCTTGATAAGAAGGCCTGGAGACAGAAGAGGAGAATAGAACTTTAGTTACAAATGTCCCTATTGCTAAGATGGCTGCTGTGATTTAAAAAAAAGTCCTGGTCTTAGGCTGCTGAAATGTGCCAATCTTTTTAGGTTCAGCATTTATAGGGCCGTTTCTCCACCCATGATTTCTGGTTCAACATTGACTGCTTCGTGATATCTGTTCTCAGCAGTATGTGGTTTTGTTCCTTTAATGGGAATCTAGACAATTCTTTTTATAGCAATTCAAGTAAGCTCAGATATTACAGACACTTAGTCCTCAGCAATATAAGCTCAGCAATATAAAATCCAGACAGTAAGGGTAGAAGCAGGGAGAACAGATAGGAGGTGATTGAAATTATCAAAAATCTATGGCAGAGCTTCTCAAATTTTAACATGCAAAGGAATTATAGAGAAACTTGTGAAACTG
This sequence comes from Homo sapiens, assembly GCF_000001405.40. Taxonomy (NCBI): domain Eukaryota; kingdom Metazoa; phylum Chordata; class Mammalia; order Primates; family Hominidae; genus Homo; species Homo sapiens. The sequence continues at coordinate 59,851 of NW_017363818.1, forward strand.
TAGAACGTAGTGGGGTGAGCCTTGAGATTATGCATTTCTATGAGCTCCAAGATGATGCTGACACTGTTGGTTCATGGAACACACTTTGGGTAGCAAGGATCTATGGTGTGCGTATGCTTTTTTTCTGCTCCTGTGCCTTTCTCCTTTGACTTGACACTTTAGAGAAGTGGTTTTCTACTCAAGCTGCCCATTAAATCCAACTGTATTAAAAAATACTGGGCTGGGCACGGTGGCTCATGCCTGTAATCCCAGCACTTTGGGAGGCCGAGGTGGGCGGATCACGAGGTCAGGAGATAGAGGCCATCCTGGTTAACATGGTGAAACCTCGTCTCTACTGAAAATACAAAAAATTAGCCAAGCATGGTGGCACATGCCTGTAGTCTCAGCTACTCAGGAGGCTGGGGCAGGAGAATCACTTGAACCCGGGAGGTAGAGGTTGCAGTGAGCTGAGATCGCACCACTGCACTCCAGCCTGGGCTACAGAGCGAGAATCTGTCTCAAAAAAAAAAAAAAAAGAAAGAAAAGAAAAGAAAAAGAAAAATGCTGATGTCTGACCTCACATCCCCGGAATTCTGGTTTAATTATTCTGGTGGAAGACTGAAACATGAATACTTTTAAAAAGCTCTCCAAATAATTCTAATGCACAGTCAGGACTGAGAGGTCTGGTTTTAGTTTATCTGGCTTCACCATTTGATGCCACTTTCAGGTCTCTGTTGGATCCATGCTTCACAGCATGCAAACAAGTTGTTACCCATCCAAGTAAGCCAGAACTTTGCTGCAGTACTATGCTGCAGACCTGACTTGTCCAGCAAAGAAATTACAGCAGATGGCCACTATCTCTCCACTGGGGGACCTTAACTCATCATGTTCCCACAGAATCTTTTTTCTTCCTTAAATTTTGCCATTTTTTTTCCAATATATCTATGTCTCCCTTATTTTGCAACTCAAGGAAGGGGCTGTGTCATATCCATTTTTATTTTATCAGTATAATGCCTGGCATAAACTAGCAATCTGTACAGATGCACAGAATAAATGAAATGGATTGTTTTAGTGTGCTTGGTGGGCTTTCAGAACTTAAAATTCTTAAGTGAGGCATTAATATATGGAATGTGGATGATATGCATAGCTGCCTCCATTTCCCAAATATAGGCAAGAAAAACCTAGTTAAAAAAAAAAACAGACCAAAATAAACATTAGTTTATGTCACACAGAATTGTCCTACTGAAAATTTCAGAATAATGTTACTCATATCATAATTTCTAACACTTATTTATTGAGCTTACTATCATATTACTGGATACTTTAAAAAAGTATATATATATATATGTATGTATATATGTGCATATATATGTATGTATAGATGTATATATGTGCATATACACATATATGTGTGTGTAATATTTAAGCCTCAAAATGACCATGAACAGTACATGCTATTATAACTCCCCTTTTTCTGGAAAGATAATTCTGGCATGAAGAGGTTACATTTGGTTTGAATCCCATAGTAAGTGGCAGAACTGGGATTTAAACTAAGCAGTTTGTGTCCAGAGACTGTATCCTAACCACTACACTACACTACACTTTCTGCATACCCCACAGGCCACTGATGACCTGTCCAGTTCTAAAGCAAGTGAGGCTATTGAAGCTGGCATTTCCCTGATCCCTTCATGGGACTCATAAAGGGGATGCCCTGTTTACTGAGCCCACAGCTCTCGACTCCTTGCAGGAGGTAGCACGTGAGCAAATGAGGTGAGTACTGGGGCATACAAGTGCTGGAGTGAGCTGGCCATGCTGGCACTGGCAGGAGTGAACTCCTCTCACTTGGACTCATTACGTTCCATCCCTCATGAGAAGGGGGGGCACGCAGGTGAGCAGGTGCAGGAGCTTGGGCGAGTGCTTTTTGGCACCAGCAGGAGCCAATTCTGTGCTGGGCCTGTGACAGCATCTTGCAGGGGGTGTCTCCAACTCCCTGAAGCCCCAGAAGCAGTGTTACAGTGCTCTTGTCATTCTGCCATCTGCAGATGGCTTAGGCATTAACAGCTCAGTGGACCCTCTTCCTTTTCATGTGAGGTGACTGCCTTCTGCCAGTGAGGGCAAAGCGTCATTTACATCCACGCTCATGGCTCTTGAGTTCTTGTTGGGCATCCAGAAGGAATGAGGTCACGTGAACAAATTGAAGGATGGTAAATGTGGGGGATTTTACTGCTGATGGAGGTGGCTGTCAGTGGGAAAGGGAGCTGAAAAGGGGATGGGGCGGGAAGGTAATCTTCCCCTAAAGTCCAACTATCTCTGACTGGATTCTTATCCAAAGTTATGCCATGAAGCTGTCCCGCTGAAGTAAAGCTGCTACTCTCCAGTATCCAACCGTAGTCTTCAATGTTTAGCTGCTTCTCCTCTCTGCCAGATGCGTCTGGGGTTCTTATAGGCACAGGATGGGGTTGGGTGGGGCCATGGGTGGTTTTGGAAAAAGCAACATTCAAGTGGGAAAACAAGGATATAAGTTCTCACTTTGGGCCATGGTCTCAGGCTTGTCAGCTTAAGGATGGAGCCCTTGCCAGGGATCCGCCCTCTTCTGCCCAGAATTTTCCTGCCTCCTGTCCCTACCACTATCACCCTTATATTAAAACACATGCTCCTGTTTTGTTTGTTTTTGATATTTACTGGTTATATCTCATGTTATGCTCATAATCAACTTTCATCTTAATTTTTTAATGCCACAAAATCCCTTCAATTATGTTCTTGTATATTTAATTACTCTCTATAATCTTAATTTTTACATCAGCTTATAAATAACCTTAAAGCTCTAGAATTAAAAAATCAAGCAAATAAAAAATAAAAATCCCTCTCTGAAATTCATATTTATCTTCAATTGCCACCCCATCTCTCTCATTTTCCCTTTATTCTTATTACAGTATATTATTTCCCTTATTCTTATTACAGTATATTATTATAATTATATTTTATACCCATTCTTCAACTGTGATTTTATCCTTAATTCAGTGTAGCCTGATACCTACCCTCATCATTCCGTTAAAAACCATTCTCATTCTACCACCTGTGATTTCCATACTATTAATCTCCTTTAACCCCATTAATTTTCAGGACTTGAATTATTTGATCTTTCAGAAGCTCTGACAGTGTTATTAAAACACTCTTTCCTTTGATTTCCATGATGCTTCATGATTATGATTTTTATTCTGCTTCTCTGGCTGATTATCATTCTTCTTCGCAGACTCATCCTCATCTATGTAGTAATTAATGGAATTCCTCAAGCTTTACTCCTATGCCCTCTTTCCCCTTACTCAATGATCTCTTTGTAGATGATATTCTCCACCTGCATTAGTCTATTCTTGCAATGCTATAAAGAAACACCCGAGGCTGGGTAATTTATAAAGAAAAGAGATTTAGCTGACCCACAGTTCTGCAGGCTGTACAGGAAGAAAGGTGCTGACATCTGCTTCTGCTGAAGCCTCAGGAAGCTTCCAATCATGGCAGAAGGTGAAGGGGGATCAGGTGACTCACATGGAAAAAGCATGAGTAACAGAGAGAGGGAGGAGGTGCTAGGCTGTTTAAAAAACCAGCTTTTTCCTGTGAACTCATGGAAGGAAAACTCACTCATTACCACGAAAATAGCACCAAGCCATTCATGAAAGATCTGTTCCCATGATCCAAACACCTCCCACCAGGTCCCACTTCCAAAAGTGGGGATTATATTTTCAACATGAGATTTGGAGGGAACCAACATCCAAACCGTATTACCACCCTAAGATTTTTTTACCGCAATATTTGGGGTAGACATTTCTTCTGAGCTCCCAATAGCCTATTTGGACAAACTTTTTAATGTTTCAGGAGTCCATCAAGATTAGCGTGCCCCATGCTGAACCAACTGTTTTCTCCATGTATCCCCCTCTTTAAAAAAAAAAAAGTCACAGTGGGTGGTACCTTATTACATCTAGTTATGCAATTCTCACTCCCAGTTGTCTTTCTCATTTTTCCAGCATTTCTTTTTATTTCTACCACTTCTACTTCCTAATTGCTATGTCTACAATAATTCTCACATATTCTTTTTGTTCTCCACACTGGAGATTTTTAAAAAATATATATGTTTTATTTCATGTTATTAATAAAATATTTTATCTTAAAAGTAAACCTGATCATGTCACCAAAACAGAAACCAAAACAAACAAAACTTCCCTATTCCTTCCACTTTCAGTTAAAAACACTTCTTATAAGTCTTAGGACAAGGACCAAGTTCCTCACCATGGCCCAAGAGTCTGTGATGTTTTGCCCTCACCTACTTCTGTAATCTAATTGTGTAATATTTCTCTCCTGCTCATCCCCTACTATATGCCTCCACTTCAGCTGCATTATATTTCAGGTATATTAGTCTTCAACTTCTACAATCCCCCTTATTCCTCCTCCACAGAGCTTTAACCTATGCTGTTTTTCTGAATGGAGCACTGATTGCTCCTCTTCTCCTCTCAAGTTACTATTTGCTCTTCGGGTCTCGATTCATCATTATTTTTTTAAGAAATTAATCCCTAATATTGCTTACTAGGTTACATTTCTCTACAACTTGATCTCACAGTAGTCTGTCTTTTCCATTTTTAGCACTGATCCAAGTTTAATGTAAAATTAAATTTTTGTCAATATCTGTCTTCCTCATTAAACTAGAAGGGTCATGAGGAGAGAGACCATATCTATGTATGCTTATTTTTATTCCCAACACCAAGCAATGGCTGGTACAAGGAGTCACGAAAAAGATATTTTTAGTGGTTGAAAAAGTGTCATTCATACTGACTATTGTTAAGATCATTTAAGACTTGCTGTACTTAGGAAGGTTTTCTGCACTTAGGAAAGTTTTCTGCTATTTTTTTTTCCATTTTGTAGAAGTCAAAAGTTATTCCAGCCTTGATAGTTTTTCTGAGGCCCCATACAATGCTTATTTGAAACTTAACTCTTGATTTTCTCAAGTACTTTTTTATTCTAAGTTACACAAAGCTGTATTAGTCATCTAAATGTTAATATTGACCCTTGAAAATCACTTTGTCTTCCCCACTACAGAATCTAGCACCCTCTCTTCACCCTCTCAGCCTAAACCCTGCGCAAACTTCCCCTCGATTCTCTTCTCCAGCTGACAGGCTGGTTCTGGGGGAGACGAAGAACATGGAGACAAGGACTTTTTTCTCCTTTTTCACACTTTGGTCAGTTGACAAGTATTTGAGTCTGTGTCTTCGCTTTTCTATTTATGAGTGATTCTGGGAGATATTTAATAATTTTTCAACCATTTCCGTCTTTTTTTCTCTTGTTTTTTAATTTTTAATTTTTATTTTAAGTTCCGGGGTACATGTGAAGGATGTGCAGGTTTGTTAACATAGGTAAATGTGTGCCATGGTGGTTTGCTGCACCTACCAACCCATCACCTAGGTTTTAAGCCCAGCATGCATTAGCCATTTTTCCTAAGGGCATTTCAGTCTTTCCAGGTGATTCTCCTCCTCTCTCCCCTGCCTGGCACACACAGACTCACACATGTCTGAGAGGCAGAGATTCATCACAGATTCTTACCTGTGGCAACAGATGCTCACTGCAGAAATCAGCTTCAGATTGATTCACATAAGACAATCATCCTTCCAAAGACAGAGTTCCCACAGTAAGAGAGGAGAACACGTTCAAATTAGAGTTGAATAAATAAAAATGAAGAGTGCAACAGAGAGAGGACCACACATGTAAGAACCACTCATTGAGTGTCAGAGTGTCATTGTGGCAAATAACATAAAGATTACCTAGTTCAGCTGCCTTCTTTTATAGATTAGGAAACGGAGGCCAAAAGAGTTTGGAAAATTTGCCCCTGTAGCAAAAATAGCTATTTCAGGAGCAAGAATCTTCTGTTTTCCAGGCTTATTCAGAGACAAGTCACTGCATGCCTATAGGTGTCTATGACATTGCCAGCCTCTCTGGATAGTGTCTTGTCTATCCCATTGAAAACTTCACTGTCTCTCATCTTTGAACTAAAGTTATTTTAAAAAGTCTGAAAGGCAAACAAATCTAAATGGTAACTTTCCTTTACATATTTCCTAGAAGATCTTAGAAGTTATTTTTGGTCCTATCCTTGGTCCCCACACAAAAAAAGGATCATCGTATGTATTTCTACTGGGTGAATATTTCTACTAATCCTTGAACCAGTTTTCACCTGACATTGGGCATTTAGTTCTAAGAAGTGGGGCAAGGCAGTATAGAACTAGCTATAATTAAAAAGGCGGGAAAAAGATGTTTTAAGTGGCTATAGGAGAGTAAAGAAGACATGTCTCTGGCTACCTGACATTGGTTATTTGTTGTTATAGGTAGGAAATGACCAAAATCTAGAAGACAGGCTGTTGGTCTGTAATGATTGAAGTTCAGTTCCTAACTCTATGAGATTAGATGCTATTTTTCTCACCTTCATCCTGAGATCTATTTTTTCTTTAACATTAAAAATCACTAAGGAAAATTTCTGAGTACATTTCAGGGGATGCTATTTTTCAACAAGTATTCTTAAAGGCATGTAATACATGAGGTGCCTTTATAGATGCCTGATATCTCCCTTCCCTTCTCCCTCTAAAACAGTAACCAAGATAGATAGAGGCTTATTTCACATTTCACTCATATTTGAGCACATGGAAGCAGCTTTCAGCCTCTCTGGCCTGAAGGGATTATCCTGGCTTCTGCATCCTCCATCTAAGATGTACAGTAAGAACTAAATAAATGGCAGAATTATTTTGAATATTACACTGAATTCCCAACTTAATGAATTACTTCCTGAAAACTAGATTCGTACCTGTATAAAATACTGCCATGCATCTCTATCCTCCATTTTTCTTGGTGTATTCGGTTGGTGCAAAATACCCATATCTATGTTCCTGCCTGCTGTGACCTCAGTATCCCCCAATAACCTATCCAGAGCCATCCATGGGCTAAGCTGCCTCTTGTTGCCCATCTCTAGGGTCTCCAAATAGAAAGTTATTTTTCTTAGACGAGATATCCTCCCCTTACCAATAGTAAACTTTTCTCTTTTTCGTTTTTGATACCTGGTCTATTCTATGGACACGTCAAATTAATAATCTCATGTTCTTTCCAGTGTAGAAGGCCTTCCATGGCAAGTCATATCATGAGCTAAGCCACTTGTGGATTGCCTAGGCAAGCAAATCTCTTTTATCCTGATTCATTGGTTTTCACTCTTCATGTTCAATCAAGGGTCTGCCTGCCTTGCTACTGATTCTATCTCCAATCCTGGCTCTTCCCAGGGCAAACTGTGGCCTAGCTCCTGTGACTGCTTAGGATATTAGGGAAAACCTATAACTACAGAGATAAGCTAATTGACAATTTATGATTTTCAAAGTAAACCATATTATTAAATTTTGGCCCAATTCCTTCATTGACACTAAGTGCTTGGTCATTCAAAATATTTTTTCATTTGTTTTAAGGCATCAATAATGATACTAATCAAAGCCTTCCAAACTAATTAGATCAAGTGACATCTATCTGGATAAAACAAATTACAATTATGAGGTTTATGCTGATCAATACTAAAACCAAAAGAAGATATTATTAGTGGAAAGATTGTTTCACTGGCAGTATGTATGAGACATTGAGGAGGTCAGATCACTTGCCTTGGGCAATCAGAATAATTTAGAATCAGAGAGCTGGAATAAACCTTGAGCATATTATAATGAGACATCCTCACATCTAGAGCATCCTTGATGGTGGCCTGAGAATGCAAAGCCAGCAATGACAAATGACAGGTGGCCATTCTCTCTGGTACATGTGTCTCAAAATTGTCAAAACTACAAGAATGACAAGAAGGAAAGGAAGTTTTACAAAGTAATTCTGTTGACTTTTGAGAGCAACTTAAATTCAGATTTTCAGATAAGAAAGCTAATTTCCATAGCAGTTATTATATAGAGTTTGCCAAAAGAATTATTTAGGATAATTATTGCTATACATACCTGCTGTATGCCAGACACTGTATTTTTATAACCCTCACAGAACACTATGAAGTAGGTATTAACGGATCCATTTTATAAATGAAAAATCAGATAGGCCAGTAAGGTGAACTTTGTCTAGAATTATTCAGCTAATAAGTAGAAAAAAAATGGATTTGGACCCAGAAATGCCTGACACCAGTTCTATGGTCTTTTCAAAGCACTTTGCTTTTCTTCATTTCATTCAGAAAGCCATGCTTTTTATAAGTTGCTTCTGATTTCAACTTAGGTGATAACTTTTATCATCCAGGCATTATATGATATATTATACAAAACATTTTGTTTCAAAATAGATGGCTATTTATGTGGTGATCTGGGGAAACATTATTTCACCTGAATTAGGCCACAAGCATATCACTGTCACTAATGTAATGATGAGAATACACAACCGATGCAAATTTGAAGACAAGGAAGCCAGGAAGGGTGTATCAATTTGAAAGATGTGTTATTTTGTATTGGATGTTAGAGAAAAGAAGAAAAGGGACAAATAGGTGGCAAAGACTGCTTATAAGCTGCTATGAGATTTTTGCTGTATTTGAAGGGAGTGCAGGAAGAGCTTTTTGGCTGAACAACTGTCCATGTGGGTAGAGTCAGGAGTGGTTAGTTTTGAAGCATCTTAGTTCTAAGGCACCTACACATAAATCTGTCTCGTTCTTCTTACCAGTGACTGAATTCACTTCTGTTTTATTTCAGCCAAAGAAAATTTTAAATCTATAGTGGATTGAGTAGTGGCTCAATAGAGTTCTGTCCAAATCCTTATCCTCAGTACTGTGAATGTGAGCTTATTTAGAAATGGGGTGATATGGTTTGGCTGTGTTCCCACCCCAAATTTCATCTTGATTTGTAATCCCCATAATCTCCATGATCCCCACGTGTAAAGGGAGAGACGAGGTAGAGGTAACTGAATCATGGGTGCTGTTTCCCCCACGTTGTTCTTGTGATAGTGAGTTCTCATGAGATCTGATGGTTTCATAAGTGTTTGGTACTTCCTCCTGCATTCATTTATCACCCCCTGCTGCCTTGTGAAGAAGGTGTCTTGCTTCGCCTTCACCTTCCACCATGGTTGTAAGTTTCCTGAGGCCTCTTCACCCATGCAGAACTGTGAATCAATTAAACTTCTTTCCTTTCTAAATTACCCAGTCTCGGGCAGTTCGTTATAGCAGTGTAAGAACAGACTAGTACATGGTGTCTTTGCAGATGTAATTATGTTAAAAATCTAGAGATGAGATAATCCTAGAATTAGTGGATGGGCCCTAAATCCAATGAAATGTGTCCTTATAAAAGACAGAAGCAGAAAAGACAGAGGAGAAGAAAGACAAAGGAAGAAGCTTGTAAAGACAGAGGTAGAAATGAATTGTACTGCCAGAGGCCATGGAACAGCTACAGTGACCAGAAGCTGGAAGGGGCAAGTGAGAATTCTCCCCTGGTGCACACAGAGGAGTCCCACCAGCATCTTGACTTCAGACTTCTAACCTCCACAATTGTGAGAAAATACATTTGTGTTGTTTTAAGTCACCCAGTTGGTGGTAATTTGTATAGAAGCCTTAGGGAACGAATACAAAGTCCAAATAAAAATCTGTCTCCCTCAAATCTTTCTATTCTTTGCTCTGGCCAAGAGGGAGTAGATCCTTCACCCTTCTCGTAAACTATATGCAACGTCATTATGCACGAACTGAAATGTATTCACACTTTACCATGTCAGCTTGAAGTTCTCAATCCCTACAATAAATCTGACCATTAAGGGTTTGAACACATAGTTGAGAAAAGCCAGAAAGAGCCCTGGGATCACTTTTCCGAATGCTTTCTTTCTTATCCATCAAAGTCCACTGCAAAATGCTGTGTCTATAAAACCCATGCCAATATTTCTAGGAATGAGAATAGCAAGAGAATGGACTACTCGCTTGGATTTAACAGTTGGGTGGATCTGTAATCATTTGGGAGTAACAATATTCTCAATATGTTCCCCTCTCTCTTTAAGTTTTATTTTAGATAATATAGTCAGAGTTGTTAGTTGATCAGATATGGTACGATTTTGTATATTGTGGCATGAAAGATAAACTGAACTTTTTCTACTGCAATCGCCAATCCCATTTTTTAGTAAGCATTTCAGCTACCCAGGAAAAGTGTTTTCCTGCTGATAAATTTAAGCATGGAACCATAAAACACTGGCTGTTCCTTCCCTCCACATGCCTTCTTCACTTGCATTCCTAAACAAGCTGCACTCCAAATCCCATGTCTGCTTAAGCACCCACAACTCTTAATGGTGACTTTTTAATAACTGGAGGTTTTGGATAAGGGGAGTTTTGGCAGAGTATTCAGAAGTTTGGGTTTAACCTAATCTTGAGAAAATGTCAGGTTCTGGAATGGATACAACTATCCAGAAGCTCAAACACTTAAATGCATAAAATTAGGGAAATTTTTTCCTTTGTTTTTTCTCAATGTCTTATACAATAGTACACTTTAAGCTTTTTCATTGAAGTATTTCTATGCTGCCATTCTCAGATTCAGGTTCAACTAATATCTATTAAATATCTATAACCTCCCAGAGAAGGTTGGATGATTTACATACTTTATCTCATTAAATCCTGGAAAATAACAACGTAAAGGCAGGAATTATTATCCCTTTTTATCTTTACAGCAGATAAAGAAGCTAAGGGACAGAAAAATTTAATTACTCATCCCAAATTTACCCTGAATAAATCTCAGAGCTATGACTCCAACTCTGGTCTTTAGATCTAAATTTATTATTTATTTCCCATTTCTTTTTGTTTAAAAAGTTGAATTGGTCAAGCATTTCTTAATATGCCATGTATATAAATTCAGGTATTCTGAATGGGCATTATTTCACAGTAGCACTTACCATGGCAGTAACTGCAGAAAATGAGTTCTTCAGAGTAAGTTATAGTTGAAGATCATTATGTACAGGGAAATTTAATTTTATAAAAAACCAAATTGGCCTTCAAACTGCAAGCATTTAAATTTTAATGTGCTAATTTTAATTAAGTTTAATTAATGCTGCTGAGCTTGGTAAATTTAAAGAACTTCAAATGATACCCCCAGAAGCTCTGAAACATCTTTCTTATTTGTCAAAACCTGCCTTCTGGCAGAATCCCAACTCATGCCTTCACAGAAATTGCTTACTCTTTGCTCTTTCTGAATCCATTCTATCATTTATCCATTTGTTATGAAATCTGATTTGTAACTGAATCTTTGTCCAATACTTTATCAGAGAGAGCTATGAACTCTGGGATTATTCATGATCTTAAATAGTGCAACTGAGTTCTGCTGCCCTCCATTTATAGCTGGGCTGTGTCTTCTAGGTTTGCTCCAATTCATGGTGCGTCTTGTTACATATATCACAACTGGTTCTTCAGGGATGAAGGTTCTACCCCTATTTCCACCTTGCAAATTAATGTTGAGGGAAAGACCTGAGAGCCTAGCATCTCATCCTCCAGAGTTTCCAGATTCTGTGTCTGGATTCTTGAAAGATACAGCGTAGATGTCCTTTAAAACCCCAAGTGGAGGTAGAGCATGGAGCTGATCATTCAGATTTGAAGGTAGCAGAAACATTCTGGAAGCTGTTAGAGTGAAGAGCTTTAGAGTTTTTTAGATTGAAGACTCTAGAGAACTCTGACATTTAAACTCCTAATGTCAGTTCATGTAACAGTTAGGAAATTTTTCTTAAAACTGCCTCAGGCTCTTCAGCCAAGTTCCTTACTATTTTCAGGTCTCCACATGACTCTGTCACTCTCTGCCATTCTATTTCACCTTTTCTCCAGAGGTCACATAACTCTACCTTCCTGACTGTTATCCAAGATGAGTAATACTTGTCCTTACATAAATTCAGTCTCACCACCTGTGCACCAGCACCTAGCCCACCACATCTCAAAAACTTGACTTTAGGAACTCTTCATTTATCTCACATTATCTCTCTCTGCTACAAAAAGACATTTCTCTTATAAACATGCTGCTGACTCTCCCACCTTAAAACAAATCTCCAAATAAAACTAAAACAAAATTTCTCTTGATTTCATTTCCCTGCCAGCTACCACCTCATTTCTTTGCTCCTATGTATAGAAAAAAATGTTTAAATTGTTGTTCCTATTCACTATCTCTAATTCTTCAGCTCCTATTTTATTTTAAAGGCTCCTAGTGGGCTTTTATTTATAGTACCAGTTTGCAGCGACTTTCCTAAGACATTATTTTCTAACTACTGATTAGCTCTTGTACTTATCTTGCATATCCCAAGAGCAGAAGTTATCATGGTGGACCACTTCTTTTACATCAGCTTCCAGGTGCCATACTCTCCCAGATCTCATCCTACATCAATCATAATTGCTTTGTCTTAGTCTCACTTGCTAGTTTTCCCTCTTTATCCCATGACTTCCAAATTTATATCCAGGGGAGACCTCTCTCTTAAAACTCAAGGCCCATATAGTCTACTGCCTTCTTAAATATAGTATTTAACATGTCAAAACTAAACTCTGGAAAACATGCTCTCTCATATGCAAACCTGTGCCACCTGCAGTCTTTCCCTTCTCAGTTGGTGGCAAGGGCATCTTTCAATTGCCCAGTTCAAAAAACGGTAAGTTGACTCCTCTGTTTATCACATAGGTGATATCCAATCCACTGGGAAATCCTGTTGGTTCTAGCTTCAGAATATATTCAAAAGCTGTACACTTCTTACACCATTCACTACAACACCCCTGTTGCAAGTCACCATCATCTTAAGGCTGTACTATTCCATTAGCTACCTAACTGGTCTCCTCCCATCAGCCCTTGCTGCCCCTCAGCCTGTCCTCAACAGAACAGCCAGTGTATCCTCCTAAAACACACGTCAAATCATGTCATTCTTTTATCCCAAAGCCTTCAATGACAGCCCATTTAATTCTGGGTAAAAGCCAAGGTCTTGGCATTTTATAGTAGATGTAATGGTTATGTCACAGTAACTGCTATTCATGACACAAATTAATCATTTACTTATTATAAAAACTAAAAGAAATTGTGTCCCTTAAGAAATTCTCTAAATTTTTGTAGTGAAAAAGAAAGTTTGGTAGAATGATATGTGAAAGGTAAAAAAAAAAAAATCAGACATTTTTAATATAGTCAACTCAAGAAGCAAATATTGAACATCTGAGATAATTAAAACAGCACATTAGATAAGCTAGAGATTAAAATACATAGACTAGAATTTTAGGGACTCATATGCAGTTGAACCTTCAACAACACGGTATTGGGGCATTGGCCCCCCTCATGGTAAAAAATCTGCATATAACTTTTGACTCCCCCACAACTTAAATACTAATAGTTTACTGTTGACCTTATGAATAACATAAGTAGTCAATTAACATATATTTTGTATATATATTATATACTATATTATAATAAAGTAAGCTAGGGAAAATAAAATACTATTTAAAAAATGAGGTAGAGAAAATATATTTACTATTCATTAAATAGAAGTGGATCATCATGAAGATCTTCAACCTTTTCATCATCAGATTGACAAGGCTGAGGAGGAAGAGAAAGAGGAGAAGTTGGTCTTGCCAATTCAGGGGTGGTAGAGGCAAAGAAGATCTGCATATAAGTAGACATGCACAGTTCAAACCTGTGTTGTTCAAGGGTCAGCTATAGATACATATTCATACAGACTCATGACATATGAGTGATTCTTACAAGTCAAATTGTGATCATGCTTTAGTAAAGGTACAAAGTCTAAGAGATCATAGAGTAGGATCTGAGAATGAATTGATATTTAGAGTTTTGTTCTTTGGATGAGATTTGGAAAGACCTTGTGGTGAAGGATGGGTGTTAATGCTGAAGAAAGACATTGCATAGAGAAGGAAAACATAGGAGGAAATAAAAGGGGAAAATGTTCCAAACATACTATGTAAATAGTCAGGACATTGAGGGTTAAAATGCTTAGTTGGAAGTGAAGGATAGGGAAGTTGTATGTAGCACACAGGCAGAGACAAGTGGCAAAAGATTTGAAAGAGCTGATGACTGTGGATGCAGTATGTTTTTTTTTTTTTTGAGATGGAGTCTTGCTCTATCACCCAGGCTGGAGTGCAGTGGCGCGATCTCGGCTCACTGAAACCTCTGCCTCCCGGGTTCAAGTGATTCTCCTGCCTCAGCCTCCTGAGTAGCTGGGACTACAGATATGCACCTCCACATTCGGCTAATTTTTGTATTTTTAGTAGAGATGGGGTTTCAACATGTTGGCCAGCTGGTCTTGAACTCCTGACTTCAAGTGATCCACTCACCTCAGCCTCGCAAAGTGATGGTATTACAGGTGTGAGCCACCATGCCTGGTCTGATGCAGTATCTTGCATGTCAAGCCAATAAATGTATAAGCTTTTCTTTATTCCAAGAGAAGCCATTAAAAATGTTGAAGAGAGTGCTTTACTTGATTCACAGTTTTAGTTCAATTAACCCAATTATAATTTATTAAATAGCCAATCTGTCCTCATTATTATCCTAGATAGTTTGATATTCATAAAAATCACTCAGGCTATTGGACAAAAATACAAATTTCAGACTTACATCCAAATAAGAGCTGGTAGATCTGGCATGGGTCCCAGATATCCATATTTAGCACAAGCCCGTGAATGACTCCGGGCAATTGGTGTGAAGACTCAATTTGGTAAAATACTAATGTACAACATAAAAAGTGGTAGAAACCTTGTTAGCTGTGCTATCCAACATCCTGTATTTTAACTTGGGAATCAAGATTTCTATTCCAAGTCTGCAAAGATAAAAAAACCTTGAAGGTATGTGATACAGACATAAAATGCTCTCTTGACACATGTGATTTCTAATTCTTATGAAGTCAAATGTATCAATTTATTTTTCTAAGCATATATTTATATATATATTTACTTAGATGTATATTTTCTAAGTAATATATATATTTACTTGTATATATATTTTCTAAGTATATATTTATATATTTATACTTAGAAAAATCTCCATGACATTTATCTTTACAAGAAGTATTGTAATTTATGAATAGTTTCACATTAAAGTTTTCTAGGTTTTGTTTTTCTGAAAAGTGGAAAATAATGCGCTAATTTAATTTTTGAAACCCACTAATTTCCCCAATTATTTGTTAAATATACCACCCTTTCTAAGTTTATTTGTGATTTTTCTTTTTAATCATATGCCATATAGGAAATTAGGTTGAAATAAGGTGAAAACCAAAAATTATATTAATATATAATTTGCTCTTCTTTCAATTTTAAAACCTCAAAAAATTAAAGAATAGTAAAGTGAACATCAATATGGTCCTCTCTTAGGTTCAATAACTCTTTTCTCGGCTTGATCCTAGTCCCCATTTTATCTCAAGGAGAAGAGAAAGACTCTGTATCCCAAGGAGAGAGTAGAATCACAAAACTGTATTTTTCCAGATCTTTTTTCAACAACGAAAGATGCATTACAAACTAGCTGTGTACCTTGAGCAATTCATATGGACTGGTGTCATGAGAATAGCACTGAAATCTGACTTGGAGCCTTATAATGTAGATCAGACTTTGTCCCTTACTCTTACTATGACCAATAATAAAGTCATTGATCATAGACTTCTGTTTTTCATTATGTCAAATGGGGAGCAAATAATAGGTTAAAATGGGAAAATGTATTAGCACAGAGAGAACAACTCAATTAGGTAAACATCTTTTGAATATTATGTATGCTGACTAGATGAGCGAAAGGGATAGAGAAGGATCAGGTGGTGTGGAGATAAATAAGATATACAGTGAGTGCTTAGGAGATATTAAGATAATAGAAAGGATGATTTTATATTTTAAACTCCAAGATGGTGAACAAAAACAAAATGTGGTGAATTTCAGAGTGATCCAAACATGGAAATGGGCCTAGGTATGTGATTAATGACAAAGAACAGGTAGGCAAATTACTAGTTATTAAAAGTCATATTTTACTCATGATCTATGTTGGAATGCAAAGTATTACACGATTTTCAGCAGTAATTTGTTATATTGATAATGCATGCCATGGAAGAAGCTGGGTAGCACTTGGTAATACAAAGTTTTCAAAATACAAAGTGGTAAGTAGTAGATTCAGTTAATTAGTAATGGATAATCCATGTACAATTCCTGCCTTCCAGAAGGCAACAGTTGGAGATAACAATGACAATACTAAAGGTATTAAAAAGAATATAGAGAGATGGCCACACCTAAAAGATGGACAGAGAGAATATCCATGTGGTGATTAAGTCGTGCATGGTGAAGTAGGAATGTATGATGGGGGAGAAAGCCCTGATTGGCTTTCTATAGTCATCGACACTGGCAAAAAAATACCCATTAGCTGAATTTCTGTTATCTGGTCCACTCCTCTCCTGTTATGTGTGACTATTTATGGGACAGCAAATACTCAAAAAAGTTTCATGGTTAATGAGTGGGTTAATGAACCCACAGAAAGCACTTTAATTAATTCCCCTTGTGGCAAGAACCAGGAGACAGGACTGAACCTGAGCACTTGCACTGGAGATGTGCAAAATCCTAGCACTAGTACATAGATGACATCTGAGAAGAAGAACTACAGTCTGCATTCTACCTGAGAATATTCTTAGGATAATTGACAATTAAATATTTTTCAAAATGTGGATTCATATGAGTAAAATTGAATTCTCTTTTTTCCCTCCACAAATTGACATCTCTTTGAAATCAACAGCCTCATCAATTTCCCAATCACCTACACTTGAAGAACTGCATGTCATTTTTTATGTTCATTCTTTCACAAGTCAGTAATTTAAAAAATTTAACAATTACTTATTGAGAACTGAGTGTTGTGCATCACACTATATAATGTACTTAATTACCTAATTTTATTCTGTCAAAACCTTTCTGAGGTAAGTATTATTAGCTGATTATACAGATGAGGAAAGCAAAACTGATAAAGTAATTTGATTACAGTTTTCCTGCTGTATCAACCAAAATTTAACATAAATGAATGCCTATTACACACACACGTGTGCGTGCACACACACACACATGCATGCATGCACATAGTTCAAATGGATCCGCATCCTCAAATAATACATTTTAAGGACAAGAAAAGGAGGAAGAGGAAACCTGTAAATTAAAAGATACTTAGTAGACATATACATATGTATTTTGATAATGGAAGAAAAACTGTAGGGTTTGAAGATGCACATCTGGATGAAAAATTGTAAAATAAATACAAGGAATAAAAAATTGAGGTAGTGATTACCACTTGAGAGAAGGGAGTGGATTGAGAACCAGAGAGTAAAGTATGTTTTCTAGTAAGTTTCTCAAGAAAAGATCATGGGAATAAATTTCCCTGAGTCCTTGCATGTTACTAGCAGTTTATTCCTTCCCACTTGAAAGTCAGTTGAGCTGGATATAAAATCTGTGGTTCATATTTTCTCTCCTTACTATCTCTTAATACTCGTAACAACTGAAACATGCTATTTCATTTTCTTCTGGCATACAATGTTTTGATATAATTTTGTTTCCCTTACAAGTCACTTTTTTGCTTAGTTACCTTGGAGGTTTTATATATCATTCTTTTTCTTCAAAGTTACATTATTTTGCTATATTATATTTTGACGTTGGTCATTCTGGGTTACATAGTATCCAGTTTGATATGTAGTCTCAAGTCTTTTTTAATGTAATAAATATTTTTGAAATATAATTTAATATTCTGTTCTCTTTGATTTTCAGAGACTCTTATCATCTATAAGTTGAATCTTTTCTGCTTATACTTTGTATTTTTGGAAGCTTTTTATCTTTTAATTTTTTGTTGATTTTTCAATTTTTCATCCTTTGCACCTTCTATGTTTTCTATGGCAACATCATTTTGTTTATCCCTTTTAGGTTTCTTGCAATTTAGCCTTTGTATTAGTTCTCTACTGCTGCATAACAAGTTGTCACAAAATTTAATGACTTAAACTAACAATAAAAATTATTTCTCACGATTTTTTTCTGAGTCAAGAATTCTGGCATGGCTTGGCTGAGCAGTTTGACTCAGAGACTCTTATGGGGTTGCAGTTATTTGAAGAACTGATTGAAGGATGAAAGATTTACTTTCAAGGTAGCTAATGCATATGGCTGGCAAGCTGATGAAGACGATTAGCAGGAGGTCTCAGCTCCTCTCTGTGTTGGCCTTTCCACAGTACTAACAAACAGAATGAGCTCAACAGGTAGAAGATAGCTTCTCCCAAAACAAGAGATCAAAGAGGCTAAATGGAAAATGCAACACCTTTTATGGCCTAGCCTCATAAGTCACATGTCGTCTCTTCCACAGTACCCTATTGATCAGTTCTGTGTCAATGTAAAGGAGTACTAAAGAAAAATACAAATATTAGAAGACAAAAGTCATTGAAGTCCATCTTGGAGGGTGCCTATCACAAATTAATATCTGGAATAATTTTTAAAATAATATGTATGTACATATGTTGTGAGTTCTGTCATCTGCTTTATGAGTTTTCTTCTAACTCTGAATTATGTTGTTTATACCTATCTATTTCTTAATGTCTGTTAACATTTGTCAATATAAAAAGTTATTGTTTTGATCTGTCCTTTGAGCAAGTATTTCTGGTGTGTTTTGTTATGTATAAAAATGTTTTTTTTGTTCAGTAGTCTATTTTCTTTTATGACAATTGTTATAACATTTGACATTAATATTTTTCTATTACTTATTTTTATATTGTGAGTTCCTATTACTTATTTTATATAGTGAGTATTTATTGCCTGTTTTGAGATTCCACTCTTCTCTGGTGCATTAGATGTCCTATTGCAGCCCCGTGCTCTCTTAAAAACAGAGATGGTTACTATGCACATAAAATGGCTGTTGGTTGTCTTTACCACTTGTGCTTTGGAGCTCAGGAGGTTGACTTGTCACTTAAATTTTTTTTTTAATAAGTTGTCAGTAGGTTTTTAGTATTTCTATTTAGTTGTCCTCTTTGTTTTTATATTGATAGTTAAAGGTATCCAAAGCTATGCTGCCACCACCTACCATTTCTAAAATCTCTTTAGTGATTTCAATCTTAATGTGAATGCTGCTGCCATTAATAATTTCTCAAATGTGCCTGAATATTTATTTTACTTTTTTAGGGTTGATAATCCTATGTTTGTGCATCTGATTACCTGGCCTGTGGACTATGCTTCTATCAATGGGCAGTGAGATGAAATATATGAAATATATGGCCCTAAGTGTTCATCTATACTCAGGCACACATGTGTACACACATGCATGCATTTTCTTATATTCAAAAATAGACTATTCTGATTCTTATTAATTAGTGTAAAAAAATCAAGTCCAAGATTTTTGGACTTGCACTTTTCTGGGCCTTTGTAATCTTGAATCAATATTGTAAAATCTACAGACTAAAATTTAAAGTTAAGACTACCAATGCATACAATGCACAACAGAAGGTGAAAGGGAAAAGAAAGGAAAGCGAAACTGGTTTTAAAAATACAACTACATATTTTGACATGCAACTGAATATGCATTTTAGCTAAATGCTGGATGGCTTAATGTTAAAATTAATAGTCAGCTGAACCTTGATATTTCCATCTTAAAATTAACTTTTAGAATACAGAAACAAATCTTAAATATTACTGCAAATATAAATATTATTAAACTTTTCATATTGAAATTTTAGTGGTGAAATTTTGTAAGTTTGAAATTATGGTGCAAAAACAATAATTGCTCTGCTGTCAACTACTAGATTACTTCTAAAATCATTGTACTGCCTATTTGTGATTCTAAATAGATGTTGGCTTTCATGCTTTTCTTTAAGGTTACATCACTTTCTTCAATAGTTTTATTTCATACTATTTTTATTCTTTAATATATTTGAATCAAAAATATAAGATTAGGTATTTATATAAGATATAGTTGACTTCCTCTTTTCTTATTTGAATGCCCTTTATTTATTTCTCCTGCCTGATTGCCCTTGATAGAACCGCCAATACTATGTTGAACAGGAGTGGTGAGAGAGGGCATCCTTGTCTCACAGTGGTATTCAAGAGGAATGCTTCCAGTTTGATATTGGCTGTGGGTTTGTCATAGATGGCTCTTATTATTTTGAGGTATCTTCCTTCAATACCCAGTTTATTGAGAGTTTTTAACATGGAGATATGTTGAATTTTATCGAAGGCCTTTTCTGCATCTATTGAGATAATCATGTGATTTTTGTCTTTAGTTCTATTTAGGTGATGAATCACACTTATTCATTTGCATATGTTGAACTAGCCTTGCACCCTGGGGATGAAGCCTACTTGATCACTGTGAATAAGCTTTTTCATGGGCTGCTGGATTTGGTTTGCCAGTATTTTGTCAAGGATTTTTGCATCAGTGTTGATCAAGGATATTGGCCTGAAGTTTTCTTTCTTTCTTTCTTTCTTTCTTTCTTTTGTATCAGGATGATGCTAGCCTCATAGAATGAGTTGGGTTGTCCTTCCTCCTTAGTTTTTTGGAATAGTTTTTATAGGCATGGTAGCAACTCTTCTACCAAATCCCAAACTATAAAAACCCTAGAAGAAAACCTAGGCAATACCATTCAGAACATAGGCATGGGCAAAGATTTCATGATGAAGATGCCAAAAGCAATTGCAACAAAAGCAAAAACTGACATACGGGGTCTAATTAAACTAAAGAGCTTCTGCACAGCAAAAGAAATTATCAACAGAGTAAACAGACAACCCATAGAATGGGAGAAAATTTTTGCAAACTATGCACCTGACAAAGGTCCAATATCCAGCATCTGTAAGGAACTTAAACAAATTTACAAGACAAAAACAAACAACCCTATTAAAAAGTGAGCAAAGGACATAAACATTGACATTTTGCTTTTATTTTATACTCACCAGATGTTACGAATCCCTAATAAGGCTTTTCTTAAAATACTCATGTCTTTAACTTAATTAAGTCATTAAATATATATACATGTATAATTTAATTTTATGAAGGCTAATATATAGAAATTATTTACTGACTGAGATTAAGATATACACAAATTTTCATTACTTTTTCTTATTAATTATACCTTATGAACATCTTCTAGTTCAAAATAATAAAGTTTTTCTAATATTATGTAATAAATTATGTCTTTGTATTAACTGTCAAATTATGTCTCCATTTTTGAGCTATATGAGAGTTTTTTGTAATTATTTTTATTCATAAAATTAAACCCATATATCAACCTAATTAATTATGACAATATTTTGCTACTATGATAATACATATATTTTTCCTTGACCTAACTGATGGACTTTCAACATGTAAAATGTACAAGAACAGTATGTCAAGGTAACATCATGAATATTTATCTATATGTGATAATGAATATTTAAATATTAAAATATATATGAATATTGATTGACCAATTTAAACAAATCTTCCTTTCATCTAAAAAATTAGCAATAAATTAGACAAAATATATTTTTAAAATATAGCTTGAAGACATGAGATAATTAGAAAAGTGGTGACAAATTAATATCGAAGAGAGAAACTTAAAGATGTAATTCCTGAATTTTATGGCTACTTTTTCCCTAGGGTTAACTTTTGGCTCTAGAAGAAATGAGAAGAACGTAAGAAGCTGAACAGTACTTTTGATGGTTTCTCAAGATGTACAAACAAAAATTGGAGCCCTGGATCCACCAAGCTTGGGTTGGAGGCCTAGTGAACCTCCTACATCTTAGATTTGTATTATAAATGGTTAAATTTTAGAGCAAGGGTGAATCACAAGTGTGAAGTAAGCCCTCACAGCAACTGAAGGCAAGTTTTGACTTGTCTTAAACACTGAAATTGGATTATGTTGATCCTTGATTGATTATATCCTTAGTCATTTTTCATAAGCAAATTAAATCTGATCTGGAGGAAATTACTATCATTCTAGGTCTCAAATTATTTTAATAGTCTTTCAAATAAATTTTCTGGTATTCACAATCAAAAGAACAGACACATGAAGAGTTCTGTGAGTAGAATTGTGTTTCCCAAAAGACATGTTGAAGTTCTTGCTCCTGGTAACTGTGAACGTGATCTTATTTGGAAACAAAGCCTTTGCAGATGTAATGAAGTTAAGATTAGATCATTGCTAGTTTGAGTAGACTGTAATCCAATAAGAATGGTGTCTTCATAAAAAGATAAAAGACACAGACTTAAACAGGGGAATGCCACATGACAACAGAGGTAGAGATTGAAATTATGTATCTGTAGTTCAACGAATGCCAAGGAAACAGGAACATAAAACAAATACAGGAGAAATAATACACAATGGAATCAGACCCACAGGACTCATGTTAAAATCATTATTCCTATATGTCTGGTAAAGATGGCATTTGTGAATTTACTGTTGAGTCTTCAGCTCTTCTTCAGCATAAACCGATGATAGTTAAAACATGAAAAGAGAACATTTAAAATTAAGATAAATATCTTCATGGACCAAAAAGTACATGGAAAGAAAGTGGTGACCAGAAGATAAACTATAGTATTGGTCACATCAAAGTCCAAAAATAGCGAAAGGGGGCTGAGGCTGTGAGTATGACTCCTAGAGAAATTACCAGAAAAGAACAACAAAAATACCTGGCACAAAGTGGGGGTCCTGAGTCAGGCCAACTGCTTAAAGCAGGGGATGGAGTGGGGGTCCCTGTCAACCACTGCCTGTGGCTGCAGTTTATATAAAGATCTCTGCCAATAAAGGCAGAGGACAAAGAGCCTCTGAATAGATCCTGAAACAAGCTGCTTTCTACTTATTTTTCCCCACAGAGTCACATACAAGATTTACATGTAAATAGTAGTGACAGAGGGTCTTGTGATTTTGTGGACATTACCACAAAATCACTAGACCTGGAAAGTAAGCTGAGAGAGAGAATGAATGAGAGAACCTCAAAATTCATGAAGAATACGGAGATTGCTCTCAAGCCACCAAAATCACTTTTCTTCTTGCATACAATGTCAGAAAGCACATCCAAGCTTCTTTGGACGTTAGATAAAACACATGACTATATATTTTTGTGTAGAATGTAAACAGCAATGCAATATGCTGCTTCCCATTTTGACCTACTAAATAAATCTTATGAATTATCCTCTATACCTCTATACTTTTTTCCTTGACTAGGATGGCTAATACCCAGGACAACTCTGAAAGCCATATACTGAAAATATGACAGGCATAATTCAATGATTCCCCACATGATTTTCTGCCCCCTTGTGTTGACCCAGTGATTCAATCAAATGTCAGTATAGGTGCTGCTGTGAAGAGCTTTTACCAATGTAATTAGGGCACTACATCAGTTGACCTTAAGACAGAAAGATTATCTTTGGTCAGTCTGACCTAATCAGATGAAACCTTAAAAAGAATTGGGTTCTTAATGGAGATTTGAAGTTTGAGAGGAATTTGACCTGAGAGATATTATCAGTTGCTGGCTTTGAAGAGGGAGGGGGCAAGAAATGAAGGTGGCCTCTGTGAGCTGACAAAGACCTGGCTGACAGCCAGCAAATACTGGAATCTCAGTTCCTCAGCATGGAAGAGAATTCTGCCATCCTCCTGAATGAGCTTGGAAGTAAAATCCCTAGAGCCTCCAGAAAGAAACACAGCCAGGCCAACACCTTGATTCTCTCATTGGAAAACAAAGAGCAGAGAATTTAGTCACGTTGTATCTCCACTTCGGACCTCCAGATCTCTGAGTTAAAAAATGGGTGTTATTTTAAGCCAGTAAGTGTGTGCTAGTTTGTTATGCAGCAATAGAAAACAAATACAGAAGATGGCAGGGCCACTGTCACTCTGTGTGTGAATAATCCCTATGGAGGAGAGCCATCCTAACTGAGATGAACACCCTTTCTTGACTACTATGCAAGTCTGAAATAAACAAATTGTTAAACTACTGAAATACTGAGTCTATTTTTTTACCAGCCTACTTTACCCTAATGAATACACTGAATGATAGAAACGAATTATGCCATTTATTTAACATTTACATATGAGCAAAACAGTAGTATCCATTTTGAACGAACTAATACACATTTGAATACTCACATAAGCATGGGCCAGAAAGAGATACCTTCACCTCTTTTGAACAGGTCTTAGAGAGAGACACCACTTCCGTGGATGGCATCCTGGGGCCAAATCTAGGGGAGTGTATTTAGATATAATCTAATGGGAATGAGAGTTATGTAACAAGTTAGTTTGAAAGGAAGGGTGATATAAGATGGATAAAGTATACAAAAGGGGCTATGGTGTGGTTTTAATTGTTAGTAATACCTGGAGTAAAAATGGCAAAATGTTAAAATTCATTAAAGCATGGAACTTTTTCATATATTTGAAATAGTTTATAATAAAGCGTGATTATAAACTACATGATAATTTATCTCTTATCACACATGCACACATGTATGGGAATTTAATTTATGACAAGGGTGGCACTATTAATATCCATATAACAATGAACACATGGCCGCTATTAGCAGTGGGGTATAATTTGTGCCACTGGCATTATTACTCTGAGTAAAATTTTTGATGTTAGTTTTTACTTTCTCATTACCCATCATACAGTAATGAAGTGGCCCCTAGGAGAGGAAACTTGAATTCTGAAAGTGAGCTTTAGCCAGGCACAATCGCACACACCTGTAGTCTCAGTTATTCGGGAGGCGGAAGCAGGGAGGATCCCTTGAGGCCAGGAGTTTGAGGTTGCAGTGAGCTATGATCAAGCCACTGCACTTCAGCCAGAGTGACAGCAAAAATTGGAGGTAAAACATGTCGAAAAAGGATCTCTTGGCCTTGTTCTGTGCAGGAGACATGCAAGGGAAGAAGAAAAGACACACACACATGACACCTTTAAGGGTAAACTCTGTTCTGTTCTCCCACACAGAACAGGCTTTCAAGGAGTCCTGAAGTTTCTTCAGGGAAATTCAGGGCAGGAAACTCTAAAGCATACCTTTTCCTAAGCTAGCAATACATAAGCCAGAAAGCATATGGTTACACTTATATTCTTTATTTATTTTTGTACTTTTTTTCTTTTTTTTTTTTTTTTGAGATGGAGTCTCGCTCTGTCACCCAGGGTCGAGTGCAGTGGCACCTCCGCCTCCCGGATTCAAGTGATTCTCCTGCCTCAGCCTACCAAGTAGCTGGGGTTAGAGGCACCTGCCACAAGGCTTGGCTAATTTTTTTTTTTTTTTTTTTTTTGTATTTTTAGTAGAGACAGGGTTTCACCATATTGGTCAGGCTGGTCTTGAACTCCTGACCTCATGATCCACCCACTTCATCCTCCCAAAGTGCTGGGATTACAGGTGTGAGCCACCGTGCCCGGCCCTGTCCTTCTAAATCTTTAGTAGGTTTTTAAGTCTTATTTAAAAGTCTTGTCTCTTGGCTGGGCACAGTGGCTCATGCCTGTAATCTCACCACTTTGGAAGGCTAAGGAAGGAGGACTGCTTGAGCCCAGAAGTTCAAGACCAGCCTAGGCCACATAGGCCCTGTCTCTCCATTTTTTTTTTTTTTTTTTAATTAGCTGGGCATGGTGGTTCGTGCATGTAGTCCCAACTATTGGGGAAGCTGAGGCTGGAGGATTGCTTGAGTCGGGGAGGTCAAGACTTCAGTGATCTGTGATTACACCACTGCACTCCAGCCTGGGCTACAGAGTAAGAATCTGTCTCAAAATAAGATAAAATAAAATAAAATAAAAATCTTGTCTCAACTATGCTAAGTGACATTAAAAAGTTGTTTGCATATTCTTGGTGACAGTGGTCATTAATAATATATTTTTAAGCGAAAATGAAACTGGGGACACAGGAAAAAGCTGCAACTATCAGCTGTTTGACCCCACATGGAGAGTCTCATTCTATGGTCAAGCTAAGAGAACATAGTTTTACAGTAGTGTTTCTTAAATGCTGTTAAGCTTATTTTCTAGAGATACAATTCTGATGCTGTCCCCACCCTCTAATGATCAGCATCCAAACTATTATTACATTAATTGATTACAAGGGTGGCACTATTAATATCCATATAACAATGAATACATGGCCACTATTAGCAGTGGGGTATAATTTGTGCCACTGGCATTATTACTCTGAGCAAAATTTTTTTTTATTGATACTTGAATTTCATCACAGTCTCTCACCTTTTTTCCCTATCCACACTCCAACAACTATCTTTGAAGTAGTTTCCATTTTCATCTCATTACTTTTCTTTTTCTTTTAGATTCATGGGGGTACATGTGAAACTCTGTTACAATAATATATTGCACGGTAATGACATATAGGTTTCTACTGACCCTGTCACCCAGATAGTGAACTTAGTACCCTACTACAAAGTTTTTCAGCCCTTGCCTTCCTCCACTTTCCCCACTTTTGGAGTCTCCACTGTCTGTTGTTCCCATCTTTATGTCCCTGTGTACTCAACGTTTAGCTCACCCTTGTAAGTGAGAACACGCAGTGTTTTGTTTTCTGTCTCTGCATTAATATGCTTAGGATAATGGCCTCCAGCCGCACCCATGTTGATGCAAAGGACATGATTTCATTCTTTTAAGTAGCTGTGTAATATTCAATGGAATGTATGTACTATATTTTCTTTATCCATTCTACCACTGATGGGCATCTAGGTTGATTCCATGTCTTTGCTATTGTATTAATAAATAGTGCTGCAATAAACATATCAGTACAAGTGTCTTTGTGGTAGAGAATTATTTAACTTTGAGGATATATCCAGTAATGAGATTGCTGGGTTGAATGGTGATTTCTCATCACATTATTTTCTGTTTTTCAGAGGCACCTTCCTACATACATTACCAGAAAAACAAAGCAAAACAAAACCTACTGCATATAGTTATTCTTCCTTTGTTCTACTTGCTCTCTACATAAGGAGGGTATTTGAAACTTCAGACACCATTTTGCTGCTATGAGGAAGCAAGTATGAAGATGAAAACTTGGCTAAAGCTATGGCTCTCAACTTCTAACATGCATAAGAAAAACAACTAGGAATCTGGGCTCTGATTCAGTAGGTTAGGGTGAATTTACCCATAAATTTACACTTCCGACACACTTCTGATGATACTGATGCTGCTTGCCCATGGACCACATATCGAGTAGTGCTAGGCTAAGATATGGCAGATAGAAAGAGCCTATGACTCTGTCCCAGAAAGATTGGGCTGCTATAACAAATTACCATAGATTGGGTTGCTTAAACCAGAAACATTTATTTCTCATGATTCTAAAGACAGACTTCAGAGATCCGGATGCCAGAATAATTAGTTTCTCGGTGAGGGCCCTCTTCCTAATTATTTCCTCACAGGGCCTTTCCTTGGTGTGTGTACACACACACCTACAGATCTCATGTGTTTCTTCCTCAAACACCTCATACTCCTGGACTGAAGTGATCCTCCTCCTCCACCTCCTCCTTCCCCTTCCTTTTTGAGACAGGGTCTCTCGCTCCCATCGCACAGGCTGGAGTGCAGTGGCATAATCACGGCTCACTGAAGTCCTGACTTCCTGAGCTCAGGTGATTCTCCAGCCTCAGGCTCCCAAGTAGCTGGGACCAAGAGGCGTGCGCTACCACGCCTGGCTAATTTTTGTATTTTTTGTGGAAATGGGTTTTCACCATGTTGCCCAGGCTGGTCTTGAACTCCAGGGCTCAAGAGATCTGCTCACCTTGACCTCCCAAGGTGCTGGGATGGCAGGTGTGAGCCACTGCACCTGGCCTCTTCCTTTTTTGAGGACATCAGTCCCATCATAGGGGCTCCACCCACATGATGTCATCTAAACCGAGTTACCTCCCAAAGGCTCCATTTCCAAATACCATCACTGGGATTAGGAATTGGGATTTCAACATATAAGTTTTGGGGGAACATAAACATTTAGTTCATCGCTGACAACATTGCAGAGCAGTTGAATTAATGGCAGCAATAGCTGTATTCTGGAATTTTTCTTATGTGAGAAAAATAAACCAATAGTTGTTTAACCCACACTTATTGTTTCTTTCAGCCAGTCTTATTCTGACTGTTAAAAATCATCATTATTATCAAAATCTTCAGCATTATTATCATGCTAGTCATTATTACACAGTGTGCTGGGCAGTATATGCATTCTTTAGATATAATTATTTATGCCTAGGTCAATACCCAGAAGAGTTTTTCCTAGGTTTTCTTCTAGAATTTTTATGGTTTAAGGTCTTAGATTTAAGTTTTTAATCCATCTCGAGGTAATTTTTGTATATGGTTAGAGATAGGGATTCAGTTTCATTCTTCTACATGTGGCTATCCTGTTTTCCCAGAGACACTGGGAATGCTTATAAACTGCTGGTGGGAATATAAACTAGTACTACCTCTGTGGAAAATAGCATGGAGATTTCCCAACTAAAAGTATATCTACAATTCGATCCAGCAATACCACTAGTGGATATCTACCCAAAGGATATCTATAAAGAAGTCATTATATCAAAAAGACGCCTGCACACCTATGTTTATCACAGCACAATTCAAAATTGCAAAGACATGAAATCAACCTAAATGCCCATCTACTGATGAGTAGATAAAGAAAATGTGGTGTGTATATATGTATACATATGCATATGTACACAAACACAGACACACACACATACATCATGGAATACTAAGCCATAAAAAAGAATGAAATCATGTCTTTTGCAGCAACTTGGATAGAACTAGAGGCGGTTATCCTAAATGAAGTAACTCAGAGACGGAAAACCAAAAGAGGGGATGTAGGGAGGAGGTGAGGGGTGAAAAAAATCACCTATTGGGTATAATACACACTATTTGGGCAAAAGCCCAGACTTCGCTATGCAATTCATGTAACCAAAAACCTCTTGGACCACTATAACTATTCAAATAAAAAATAATTTAAAAATTATATAATTTTCTGTCCAGGTGTGGTGACTCATGCCTGTAATGCCAGCACTTTGGGAGGCTGAGGCAAAGTGGATTGCATGAGGTCAGGAGTTTTGAGACCAGCCTGGTGAACATGGTGAAACACTATCTGTACTAAAAAGACAAAAATACTAAAAATACAAAAATTAGCTGGGCGTGGTGGTGGGCACCTGTAGTTCCAGCTACTCGGGAGGCTGAGGGAGGAGAATCGCTTGAACCTGAAAGGTGGAGTTTGCAGTGAGCTGAGACAGTGCCACTTTACTCCAGCCTGGGTGACAAAGCAAGATTCTATCTCAAAATAAATAAATAAATAAATAAATAAATATTTTAAAAAATTAAAAAGTTAAAAAATATATAATTTTTTATCAACCCTTCCAGCAATTCTGTGAAATGCATATAGTTTTCTCTATGATAGAAGAAAGTAAGAAACAGTTTAAATGGTTTAGCCCAGGTTATATTTAGAACGCTGCTCTGCAAGCCAAATTCACTCAAATTCCCTTGTTCTTAACCTGTGTTATAAACCACCTCCTACATGGAACATATATTTAACAAAATTTGGTGGATGATTTACATTCTCTTGCATCATTCTAATCAGAGACTTTTTGTCTTACCATCTTACATGACTTACTACTTTCTCTAACATTGTTTATTCATTTCCACATAAACACTTAATGCTATGAGTAAGTTTCCATACTGAACTCTGAGGTAGGCCATCCCAGTCGTTAAGGAGATCACAAGCTAATAATAAGAGACTCAGACAAAAAAAAAAATCCCTTCTTATAATACAACTTGTAACTATTACAGTGGTATTACAAGAAAATAAATTCTACAATTTTGGATAGGTATTTATACACAAGTCATTTTCCCTACTAGGGTTTAGCTTGGTAAGATTAGAGTCTGTGTTTTTCTGATTTTGGCATTTTTAGCAACTGCAGATTATATGAATGAGAAGTTTTCTAAAAATTTGAATTAATTTATCCCCCCATAGCAGCATATTTTGCACACATGCATACTCACATACACACATTCGGCTTTATACATAAAGAGGGTATTTCCATTGTTTTTCGATAAACTTTTTATTGAAAGGCAAAAATACAGAGATTATTTTGCAGCTTAAAAAGAAGAGAAATTAATAAAATATCAATGAAAGCTTAAGTTATCATGTATTGAGCATGTAATATTTGTCACACTACATTCTTTACATGTATATTTAAAATAATTACAACAATCCAGAAATGTAGAATCATGTTATTTTAATGACAAAAATATCTGAAGCTCAGAATAAATAACCCTTGTAAGTCAAGGGTCAGGCTGTTTTGGGAAATAAAATTGTTCTGTTGTCTATGGCTGGTTTCACTCTACAATGGCAGAAATGAGTGCTTGTGACAAAGCCCATATGGTCCATAAAGCCTAAAATATGTATTATCTGGCTCTTTCTAGAAAAAACATTTCTAAGCCCTGAAGTTGCTTCCGTTTATTCAGTAGCAAGTCATAAAGACTAAGTGTAAGCAGTCTGCCTGTCTCTACACACCATTTAGATAGGCTTTGGAAACCTCAGACTCTGATTCTCAGTCTCAATTTGACTAGGTGCTAGCTGTGAAACCATGGGAAACTTCTCAAACCTCTCTTCCACTTTGCGCCTTCATCTGTAAAATGGAGATAATAGTAGCATACGTCTGATGGTGTTGTTATAAAAATTAAATATGCTGATTTACATAAAACCCTAGTCACAAGACTTGTTACCTTGTAATTGCTTAGGATGTGTATGAACTTACTACCTCTGTTGTTGCCACCATTACTTTTACCTTCATGATACTATCATTTTTACTATTACAATGACCACTCTAAAACAAGGCATTCCTATAATCCCATGGTTATTTTTATTGCAAGTTACTGTTAAGGCCCTATTTCTTATTTCCTATTTTTGTGCTTTTTATATTTCTTTCCACCATTTTAGAAATGGTTGTGGCATTACCATGATATTTTTCTTACTCGTAATGAGGTAGCGATGCTCTTGTTATAGATCAAAACCAAGACTTGTATCAAGGTCTTGGCAGAAAATGTGATTTTTGTATATGTGTGCCTATGTATGGCAGGGTATCTAGCATAGAACAGGGGCTGAATGATTACAGAATTAATGTTGAAGAATTAGACAATAGGTCACATATGAAAACTAAGGACAGATACAAAACACTACTTAATTTTCTAGGGCAATAATAGGGAGTAGATATTTTGTCTTTGAGAGAGAAGCGATAAAAACTACTTGAATCTGATATTTCAAGTCTTAGTAACTATTCCTTTATTCTCTGCCTATTTACATATTGTACTTGTTATCTGTTAGCCAGCAGCCCACTTTTTTTTTGGCATACACTTGGCACTCCCTTACATTAAAATAGCTACGGGGATTTTCCATTTAAATTATTTTCCACCCCAGTGTCATTTTGGGGAACTCGAATCTTTCTGTAATGAAGTATTCAACTCCAAGTAAGACAGTTGGCCTGCACTGTGCAAAGCAAGCTCACTTATAAGAATCTTGCCGGGACAAAAAGGAGAGTTAGGAAGTCTCTTGTGTTTTCCCAGTGCTTTTGAAATTAATAGCTGGCACATTTTGAATCACAGCACAAGAGCAACAAAACAGAAGATCTATTTTAATAGACTTGAATCTATACTTAGAAGGACACAGTGAGAGCAAGGAGAAAATGAATTTGACCTTTATTTGCTCTAAAAGGATCTTTATGTAGGTAAAGGAAGCTGTGCAACAAAATAACAAAGTTGTTGCCCATGGTACTGTAAGTACAAACATCTTTCCTTCTCAGGGAAGAGAGATATTTTGCTGGATTTGAAAAACAACAGAAAACAAAGCATTTATTGACAGGCAGTGAGGTCTGATTGAAAAATGTAAATATTAATTCATCTGAACACTTAACTAATTAGGAAACTAGAGAGAAATTCAGTGGAGTTTTGAAAAAGGTAGCAGGTCAATGGTGAAGATAACATGGTATAAAGAGTAAGTGAAAGTAAATTTCCTTCCTCAGAAAACTAACACCCTTGATCCACTTATTTGTGATTTTTTTTTGTTGTTGTTTGTTTGTTTGTTTGGGACGAGTCTTGCTCTGTTGCCCAGGCTGGAGTGCAGTGGCATGATCTCAGCTCACTGCAACCTCCACCTCCCAGGTTCAAGCGATTCTCCTGTCTCAGCCTCCCGAGTAGCTTGGACTACAGGCGCATGCCACCACACCTGGCTAGTTTTTGAATTTTTAGTACAGACAGGGTTTCACCATATTGGACAGGCTGGTCTTGAACTCCTGACCTCATGGTCCGCCCACCTCGGCCTCCCAAAGTCCTGGGATTACAGGTGTGAGCCACTGCACCAGGCCAACACTTATTTGTTAATTTAAACATGCATTATGTGTTAGATGCTGAGGAATCTGATAAATAGTGCTTATTTTAAAGTTGATTTTAGTTTAGTGAGACGTGCAAGTAAACATACAATTACATTTGATAAATGCAGTGGTAGAGTTATACCAGGATACTGTGTGATATGTTTGGCTGTGTCCCCACCCAAATCTCATCATAAACTGTAGTTCCCATGATCCCCACGTGTCATGGGAGGACCCAGTGGTAGGTAATTGAATCATGGGGTCAGTTACTTCCATGCTGTTCTCGTGATAGTGAGTTGTCAGGAGATCTAAAGGTTTTAAAAGGGGCTTTGCCCCCACTTTGTTCTTCACTTCTCCTTGTTGCCAACATGTGAAGAAGGACATGTTTTCTTCCCCTTCTGCCATGATTGTAAGTTTCCTGAGGCCTCCCCAGTTATGCTGAACTGTGAGTCAAACCTCTTTCCTTTATAAATTACCCAGTCTAGGGTATGTCTTTATTAGCAGCCTGATAATGGATGAACACAGTGTTAAGTCACAGTGAAGTGGGATGCAGGATGTGGTTTACAGTGATACATGAGTTGCTGTAAAAGCTTTGCTCATTTTGAAAGCAATATAATCCTAGCTTCATAAAATAAGTTGGGAAGTGTTAATTTTTCACTTTTCTGGAAAAGATTGTGAAGAATCAGCATTATTTCCTACTTAAATATTTAGTAGAATTAACCAGTGAAAGATTTTTAACTGTAGATTTAAATTCTTTAATAGATGTACGGTTATTTAACTAGTGCATTTTTTTTTCCTAGAATTAGTTTGTGTCTTTGAAGGAATATGTTCTTTTTTTCTGTATTCAAATTTCTTGGCATTAAGATGTTTATTTGATGTTTCCTTATCACATTTTAATGTCCATTGTAGTAATATCTTCTTTATTACTGATAATGTTGTATCCCATTTTTTTCTTTGTCATTCTTGCTAGAAGATAATGAATATATTGACTTTTATTCAGAGAAGCAGCTTTTAGCTTCATTGATTTTTTCCATTGCTGTTTGATTCCCCATTTCATTAATTTTTAAATCTTTATTATTCCTTTCTTTCTTCATGTCTTTGGGATAATTTGATCATCTTTCCTTGGATTCTTAGGACAGAATTTGAGGTCTTTTGTTTGAAATCTTACTTATTTTTTCTAATATACATTTAATGCTATATATTTTTCTTTAAACACTGCTTCAGGTAAATTCCACAGATTTTGATATGTTTCATTTTCATTTTCATTGGATTCAAAATATCTTCTAGTTTCCACTGAATTTTCTTATGTTATCCTTAAGTTGTTTAAAAATATTTTGTTTAATTTGCAAGTATTTGGAGGATTATTCTGATATTATTTACTATACTGTTATTGAGTTTCAGTTAGTTTGATGTAGTCAAAGAACATATTTATATGATTTGAATCCTTTTATATTTATTTAAACTTTTTATGACAAAAATGGTTATCTTTGTAAGTGTTCTGTATATGCTTTAAAAGAAGGTACATTCTGCTATAGTTAAATGGAGCGTTCTAAAATATCAAATCGGTCAAATTGGTTGACAGAATTGTTCAGTTATTCTGTATCTTTACTGATTTTCTCTGAACTTTCTTTAAAAATGCTATTTTTTCTACAAAACTCCTTTAATTTTTCAGAGTGTTAAATATCCAACTAAAATTGCAAGTTTTTCTAAATCTACTTTCTATTTTCTTAACAAATGTATTTTGTATAGTTTGTACTCTACCATTGACCGCATACACATTCGGAGTTTTTTTATTTTTATTTTTATTTATTTTTTTTTTTTGAGACGGAGTCAAACTGCAACTCCCAGGCTAGAGTGCAATGGCGCGATCTCGGCTCACTGCAACCTCCGCCTCCCAGGTTCAAGCTATTCTCCTGCCCCAGCCTCCCAAGTATCTGAGACTACAGGTGTGTGCCATCATGACCAGCTACTTTTTGTATTTTTAGTAGAGATGGAGTTTCCCCATATGGCCAGGCTAGCCTTGAACTCCTGACCTCAAGTGATCTGCCCACCTCGGCATCCCAAAGTGCTGGGATTACAGGTGTGAGCCACTGCGCCCAGCGACATTTGGAGTTTTTATATCACCTTGATGAACTGATCCCTTTATTATTAGGAAGTATTCTTCTTTATCCTAGATTATAATTCCTTGTTCTAATATCTGATTGTCTAGAGTTAACGTATGCCCTCAAGCTTTCTTTTAATCAGTGTTTAAAATAGTAGCTGTTTTTCGATCCTTTTACTTTCTACACACAAATACACAGATTGTGTGCATAAAGTGTGTATGCATAAATATATATAATATAGATAATATGTATATTGTATATATTTTTTCTAACGTGAGTTTATATCCTTTCAGGTCTTTATTTTTTTTAATTCAATGTGACAACTCTTGACTTTGAATTCGAGTGCTTAGACTGTTTACATTTAAAGTAATTATTGTTATGGCTGAATGTGAATCTAGCACCATACAGTTTACTTTATATATTTTCTTTCAACACTTTTTTTTCTTTTTTGCTTTTTCCCTGCTTTTGATTTCACTTTTTATCCATCATTGGCTTACTACTAATAACTCTTTGAGTGTTTTGTTTTATTGTGGTTCTACAGTTTACAATAAACATTATACCACTCCATTTACAGTGCAAGAATTAAACCAGTATGTCTTCATTCTTCACTCTTTGATTTCTTTGTGTTACTATCGTCATACATTCCAATGGTAATTTTTACATTTTTAAATATATATTTATTAATTTTCCCATCAGGCTGCTAGCTATTCATTTGTTGTTAATTTATAATTTTTATGTTATGAGAAGGTGCTCTACACTTCTCTTTTTCAGAATTCTAGAATTATGGTTTGTTTTCTACTTTAATTTTAAATTTATTTCTAGGAGATAACAAAGATATTACATGTCTTTAGAAAGGCTTATTTCTCACATTCCTTTGACTGTTTCAGATTTAACACAAATAGCATCTCTAAGAGGTAGTTAGAAAGGTTGGTCGTAGTTTTAAATATGTCTGTATTTATATATCCCAAACAAAGAGCATTTGGGGAGATATTTAAGTATATTTTCTGTTAATCTTTTTTTTTTTTTTTTTTTTTCTGAGACAGAGTCTTCCTCTGTTGCCCAGGCTGGACTGCAGTGGCACAATCTCAGCTCACCGCAACATCTGCCTCCCGGGTTAAAGCAATTCTCCTGCCTTAGCCTTTCAAGTAGCTGGGATTACAGGTGCCTGCCACCTCGCCTGGCTAATTTTTGTATTTTCAGTAGAGACAGGGTTTTGCCAAGTTGGCCAGGCTGGTGTCAGACTTCTGACCTCAAATGATCCACCTGCCTCGGCCTCCTAAAGCGCTGGGATTACAGGTGTGATTCACCATTCCCAGCCTATTTTCTGTTAATCTCTATGTGAATAGTATTAACATGATGAAATGAGATGTATATGTCAAAGTTATACCTAAGCTATTAACACACTCTATAGAGTGATAATTATGCAAATAATGTAAGTTAGTTGTAATAATGTTGGTATAACAGTAGACTGAGAATAATTATAAGGAAGATTGCTAGGTAATATCCTTTTTAAACATTTTTTCTGTGGATGTAACAAACAAAAATTCCACCTTTTGATAATTTGGAATATGTTACTGAAGAGGATTCTGCTTAAATTTATCTTTTGACTCTTAATTAGCTCACGTTTAATTAACTTAATCAACATTTATGTATCTGCTGTTCTATGAAATGTATGTTGAGTGAAGGGGTTGCAATGAGAAGAAATTAGAGCTCCGTGGATCTGAATTGAGAGGATGCATATTGCAGCATCAACATGGTCTTTCAGAGATGCTAAGGGAGTTAAAATTAACATAATACCACAGAAGCATGATCAAAGACTTATTTGAATGAAAAAATACACAATTGTTACAGATATGCTAATGTTGACTTTCCAATATACTAAAATTGATTAACACTGAAAAACCCCTCCTTTTATAGAATGTAACAAAATGTGAATTGAATTGTGTCTTTTTGTTTGTTTGGTTTGGTTTTGACACAGTGACATTATGCCAACATTTTTTGAGGCCAGTATTTTGTTTTCAGTTTCTCCAAAGTGTGCTCTACACATTATGATGTAATGAATGGCAAGGTTACATAAGGGAGATAAATTATCTTACCTCCCTGACTTCCTTTTTCTGAATTACTAAGATGCAGTGAAAATCTTGATTTTTCTTTTTGGATGTTGTTTCAAATGTGAATATATTAGGCTTCATGGGTTTTTATCCAAGATATGTGTTCCATACCCCAATTCACTCAAAATAAAAGTTAGAGTACAACCCGAAATGGAAATATGACT
This sequence comes from Homo sapiens, assembly GCF_000001405.40. Classification (NCBI taxonomy): domain Eukaryota; kingdom Metazoa; phylum Chordata; class Mammalia; order Primates; family Hominidae; genus Homo; species Homo sapiens. The sequence goes on from NW_017363818.1 coordinate 96,484, forward strand.
ATCGCAGCACTCTTAGGAAATGCTAATGTCAAAAGATTTAGGGAACTTCTAAAAACATCAGAAATGTCCTACTTTCAAAGCTTCCCTTAAGTCTGTCCTCTTTAGAAATTGTGAGGGATAGCATTAGGAGATATACCTAATGCTAAATGATGAGTTAATGGGTGCAACCCACCAACATGGCACATGTATACATATGTAACAAACCTGCACATTGTGTACATGTACCCTAAAACTTAAAGTATAATAATAATAAAATTGAATTAAAAAAAAAAGAAATTGTGAAGTTATTTCCTGTATCCTGAAGGCCTGGGTTGGAATGTTCTAGTCCCTTCCTAGCCCTCCAGATAGCAAGCTCTGTGTCTTTGAGGCAGATGGACACACTCTATTTTTATTCTAGGGCCAGAGGTATAGATCGCAGTAGGTACCTGAATAAATAAAATTTGTAGCATCTATTCCTCTGGAAAATTAAAGTACTGCTCAGAACCAGTTCTTGAAAAATGCATTACTTGATCTATTTCTGTAGGATGCACTTTCTTTCGACAGAAGTTTATCTATTTGACTTGTGAGTTGGCTTCTAGTGAGCTGGCTTCTGACTCTCAATGCTAATACCTGGTTCTTTTGCAATAGGTGTTTTCAGTCATTATTTCTTTTGATATTAAACCAATGGGGCTTTGTGAGATGCCAAATAATTTTTTGTAAGCATCACAGTCCTGGTTTCCAAAGCAGAAGGTATTTAGAATGAATGTCAAATTTGTTCATTTGCTCATTCACTGAATATTTGCTCAACAAATATTTTTTAATTCCAATATCATGCTGATAATTCTTCTTGCTGAAAATCCCTGCCTGAAATTAATTGCCAGATGAATGTAGAGAAACATACATATTTGGAAAAACATAATAAAGAGATCCACAGAGGACTCATAATGAATACCGAGAATAAGGATCAGGGTGGTAGAAATGAGAAGGAGATTTTGCTTGAAGTGAGACATAAACTTCTAATTGGTTTCAAGGTTTATACTTTCAATCACATCATTTAGCAAAAAGGAGTGAGCTCAGCATTTTCTAACCTGTAGACAAGATGAAAATAATTTGTGCCGAATATGTAGTTTTTTCTTTCCTCTTTCCAGGTTTTAAAAAAAGATAGAAATAAAAGAAAGAATAGAAAATTAGGCTAGACATCTTAGTAGAAGCATGAGCCTCTTTTGTAGATTTAGTAAAACCTTATTAATTCTTATTATACTCAAAATGAAATTAAGATAATTTTATAAAGATCTTAGCTGAATTACACATTAACACAGAAAAAAATAATTGCTAAGAAAATTGATATGGAAAATTCTTCAGTATGTAATAACTCTTTTGAAATATACTTAGAATATCTCTTTACATATTATAATTTTGAATAGAATAAAGTAATAAATCCATAGTTTGGAGAAGATTCCTCTGATCATGGTAAATATGGAAAAAGTGATAAGAGATGACAGAAAACAGCAACAGATACCAGTTAAGAGAGAATTATAATGGCTGGGCTTGAGTCAAGGACTATACAAAGATGATGACAGAATGGTGGGGGTGGGGGGCGAAGCATATCTTCAAGCTCTTTTATGAAGAATAAAAAGGTAGACTAGAGTTTGTGTGATTAAGTAGCTTCTAAAACGCTCCCCAGGATTTCAGCCATATAGTATTCACAATCCTGTATATTCCCCTCCTGTCGAGTTTGGGCTGAACCTAGTGACTAGTTTCAAAAGAATAAAATAGGATAGAATTGCTCTAAAGATAGCAAATGGGATGGGATGTCATACTGAGGTTAGGTTATAAAAGACTGACTTTTGCTTTGATCTCTCTGTCTTGTCTCATTTACTCACTCTGATGAAGCAAGCTGCTGTGATACGAGCTGCTGTAAAAACGGAGGCCTCCAGACCAACAGCCAGGGAGTAGGTGGGTTCTGCCAACAACTACATGCGTGAGTGTGGAAACAGATCCATCCCCACTTGAGCCTTGGGAAGACTTCAGTCCTAGCTGGCACCATCATTCAGCCTGTGAGGAACCCCGAGCCAAGAATACAGCTAAGCTATAATTGTATTCCTGACCAACAGGAATTGTAAGATAATATAGCTGCTGTTTTAAGTTATTAAGTTTTGGGGTAATTGGTTACGTAATAATTGATAACTAATACAGTCTAATTCACTTCTCCCTCCGTGTCTCTAATACCCAGAGGCGATCTAATCAGGCTACTTGACTGGGAGAAGTCAAAACAAAGCAACAATAATAAACAGTAAATATCACAAGTATTACTTTATTATTTTGTTACTTTCCTGTAATCTAGTATGTATTTATGCCATTTGATTATTAAAAATTATCTGGGCCATTATTTCCACTTCTGGGAAGGAATCACAGAAGACTAATCCAAGAGAAAATTAAAATTATATGCACAAATTTGCTCATACTATAGTCACCTATAATTTTAGAAAATGGGAAGCTATTGGTTATTCATCTGTGTAAGAATAGTTAAGTATGTTATATGATGCAGCTACTCAAGGGAACATGACCCAAAATTGACTTTGAAGGCTAAATAGAAATAAATTAAATAATTTATGTAGTCTTGAAGTGAAAGGTGCAGAACAGAAAATGATACATCTGCATTAAATTATGTCTGCTCAAAGTACAAAGATCATACCAGAAATGTTAAAATGATTAATTTTTAGTAGAGAAGTATCCTAGAGAGATAATAGGGAAACCATGACAAAATTTTGAAAGACTTGTCTTTGAATATTGCATCAAGAATTAATTAGCTGTGTGATTGTGAGCAAGCATTTAATGCCTTGTCTTGACAAATATGCTAAAGACATAATTATATTACCGATTATTGTTAGAATGAAATGAGGAGTGTGTATAAAGTACCTTATACAATGTTGGCACAATGGCACAATGTTGATGTTTGTTGCCTTTTATTTCTACTGTTGTTAATGTATATAGACATCTAAAAATTATATATTAAATTTCTTGCTTTATACCTGGTATTGCTTGAAAGGAGTGATTTGAACATTTTGTTGCCACCATAAAAACTGATTATACTCCATGCTCTGTTGTGTTGTACTATTTTGTTTGCGACCATTGTGTAACTATTTTGGGATGTCACTAGCAGAATATCTTTTAAAGTACTCTAGTTCCTGCAAATCTTTGTAGTGTAGAGTTTGAAGTTCATATTTCCTCCAAGTTTTGTAAAATATAGTCATATTGGTTAGAGTAAAATTCCATCACTTGACTTTAAGTACAAATGATAAGTTTTTTTATTTGAAGTTGGTTTTTCTAGGGAAAAGAATTTTTCAGAATTTCCTTGGTTTGCTGAACTTTCTATATATATATATATATATATATATATATATATATATATATATATATATATATAAAGGTTATTTTTGTTTTACTCCACTCTCCCCACCCAGAAAGTCTATTGCTTTTGTGTGATACTCTTCTGTTACTTTCTAAAAGTCTGCCTGTGACCATATCATTTGATATTCACTTAAATAATTTATATACTTAAAAACTCTCTGGGTGATCAATGTATTAGACTGATATAGCAAGAACAAGCTGTTTTCCTTGTTATTAAAGCCACATATGTTTGCCCATTTTTTCAAATGTGAAATTGAACATGACAAAAATGCATGAGCATTTTCCTGGGTAATACCGCTCTGGTAATTCAGCAGGTCTATAGGTAGATGGCATAATTTTAACATAGCATTTCTAAAAATTCTTATACACCATCTTTGGTTACATGAAACACTTTATGAAAGTATGTTATCTGTAGAGATTCTGGAAATATTAACTCTTCATCAGATTTTGCTTAAGGTTTCAGTATTCTTAACCCACTTCATTTCTTATTTTTTGTTTGTTACATGGATATAACCAAATGATTTCCCTTTCTAAAATACTTTCTCATTAGAAAGCTAAATGTAGAGTTCTGAATAAGTGTGCTAGAATAAATAAATTAATGATATCAATTGTTAAAAATGGTATAGTTTCTTTCACTCTCAGATAAATTACTCTATATCAATCGCCTCTGTGTTTGTGTGCAGAGGAGAGACTCACATTAGTGGCCACTGGACCAGTGGGAGGAAGAGCTTATGGGAAGAGACTTCTTTGGCTCATCTCATGTTACATCTTGGAGGTAAGTGACTAGTCTCGAAAATATTAGACTAGATTGTCCCTAGCCTGATTTAACACCTTTAAATTATGAATGAAAGAATGGAGGTCTGGTATATTGAATACCTTTTCTAGGTTCCATGGCCATCTAATGGTAGAGACGAGAATGATTGTGCAGGAAGTAACTTCTTTCATACTCAGTTCAGAGTATGTGTTCACATAGAAAATTATGGGATTTGCCTCTGAGATTGAAGAAACAGTATACTGAATGTCATTTGGAGGGTTTTGAAGTGTAGAAAAAGAGAAATATATCTCTTTGGTTTCCTTTCAGTCTGATACACAATAATGTTTTATTTTTGAATGTCATTTTATGATTTACAAAGTGCTTTCATGGGCATTCTATTATTTAATAATAATCCTGTGTGAGCCAGACATTTTTACTTCTATTTCACAGTGAAGAAATTTTGGTTCAGAATAGTTAAGAGACCTTTCAATAGTCACACATTGTGAAGGAAAGAAATTGAGAGAGATTGAAAGAGAAAAAGAGAGAGCTAGAACAAACTCCCAGCATAAACAGAATTAGTCCATCACCCCCAAAATGAAATTATAGGACATTTAATGCTCTGCAAACCATACGTAGCACAGACAATTTCTGTTTACCAAATATTTATGAGCTTCCCTATATTTTCTAGGACTCTTTTAGTTAGATGGAGCTACTTTACTGATAGATAATAGTTCTAGGTAATTTGCTATAAACAGAAGTTCTGTGGGCCGAATCCCTCTATGCTGGCGCGCAACCCTCATTCCTCTCTTTCCCTGCCACAGTGACCTCAAAGGCCCCATCCCAGAAGGCACAGCCACAAAAAACGTGGCCTCCACCAGCATGGATCCCTGAATGTAATGGGATCAGAGCCTCCTGCCCACACCTGGTAAGTATATATCATGAGTAATAAATCAACCTTTTGATATTAAGCCACTAAGATTTCAGACGTAATTTTTATTGCAGCATGAAGTAAAGTATCTTTTAAAAGTAATCTTTTAAATATTACTATTTTAAAGGAGCAAGAAAATTACATTTTTTCCACTATCTTAAGATGTATAAAACGTGTTGCTTTCTGTAGCAGATTTTTTAAAAGACAATTTAGTCAACAAATACTTTTGTCTTTAAATCCTGACATGCACAATAGCACAAGCTCAGTGGCTGGTCACCACTCCAGCACTACTAAATGATGGCAAGAAGACCACTTCCAAAGAAGGAGGGACAGGGACAGCTTCATGGTTACGTGGCTAGTGGGTTTCACACTCAGAAGCTCCTGTGATTAGAGTTTAATGCACTGCACTTACTGTCTTAATAATCTTAATAGATTTATCTTTGAATTTTGTTTTGTAAGCAAAATCTGATGGGACAATGGCACTTGAGCCTGGAGCTTGCCTTGGCTCACATGGTATTGCCTCCATCTCTCTCTCCAGGATGAATTCTCAGCTGCCTGCTCCTCTTATCCTGTGCTCTAGCCTGCCTGGCCCCCCTTTTCCCAATCTGGTCTTGCCACTTTCTGCCACAGGTGGGAACCTGATAGTAGATGGGAGATTAGGGATAGGCACAAGTGCCCTGTGGTATCCAGAGGCAAGAGTAGAGCATAGTGATGACAATCCCTGCCCTGGGCTGACAACTCAGCAGTGAATAGGTGGAGACCAAGGGCATCCAACGCTCAGGTTGCAATATCCTTGGTAATTGCCCATTGCACAGCAGGCTGGGGAAGTGGGCCTGTGGGAAGAGGAGTCACCGTCTGGACTCCTCAGATGCTGTCCTGGCTAATGCATGGTATGTAGTCCAGGCAGCTGTTAAGCAGAGCTTGTGCACACATGGCCTGTGTCATTTGGCAAAACCCTAGGCACATGTGAGGGTCTGGCTCACTCCATGGGTGTCCCCGTGTTAAAGGATGCTTTCCTGGCCTGCTTCATTCCTGGAAGTAACTTCTATTCCTCCTTCCAACTTTCCTTAATCTGGCTTGTGTTTTTCTCTTCTACTAGCTCCAGGGACTCTCTGGGGATAAGCCATGTAATAAGAATTGTGTAATTACGGTGCTTCAGCATACAACTTAATATTCTGATATCTGCGTTTAAAAGTGGACTTGCATAATATAAACATGGATGATAAGATCTAATAATTTAAAATTTTATTTTTTCTTTACTTAGAATTAAATAGCAAATATAGAACATCATGAAGAAACACAAGAGAGAGACAATAAAGGAAAGGAAAAGGCTTTATATTTCAACACACCAAATGACAAGTTTTTATTGATTTTTGAATGAGGGGCTTAGCATTTTTATTTTGCAATGGGTCCTGAAAATTATTTAGCACATCTTGAGGAAGAACCAGCATTGAAAAAAAAAAAAAAAAAAAAAAAAAAAAAAAATGAAAACCCTGTAGAATGTGAATAAATCACCCAAAAGTGAGATATCTTTCAATAAGAATCTCCTGTGGTAAACTCCTGATGCCTTAAGATGCTGTTTAGTTGTCCAGATCGCTTTAAAAATCACAACAACCTGCAGCTGGCCTCACCAAGCTGCCTCTGAAGTCTTTCTGACTTTGAATTGGGTCCAGCTATACACAAAAGGCTTACATTTCTTCCTTAACTATAACGCTAAAATAAAACATACAAGGTCTAAAAAAGAATTGCTGAATGGGTTTATCAGATCCCCACAGCAGTGGGAAGTCACAAAGAAAGACAAAACAGTCTTTTGCTTCATACTTGCTTTTGAAATTGCATTCCCTCCAGTTCCTCTGTGCTTCTTTTGCAAAGGGCAGACTTTATTTCTGCCAAAATCTTTGCAACAGAGCCAACAGAATTTATCTCAAGCTTGGCAGCCAATATACATTATCCACAGGTTTCTGGCTAAACTATTAAAATTAATCAGTTGGCAAGCTTTCATTTTAGCAGCTCTAATAAACAAGAGAAGCAGATTCCCAGGGGGTGGAAATATCAGTAAATATAGCAGCTTTAAAAGGAAGAAATTCTTCAAAATGTCCGAAGATGGACTCAAGCTTTAGTCAAATGGACCTAAACTACAGTTACAGTATGGGCAAAACCATTCATTTTTATTAAGGCATTTTTCAGTGCAAGAGGAATCAAGTCCATTCTACACATAGGATCTCAAACAAACTTTCTTCAGGTTGCATGATACAATGTTCTATTTGAGGGGTGGTAGTGTAAAAGAGTCTCTGCAGATACAGTTTGCCTTGTGGATGCTAAAATTTCAGAAGTAGGGGTTTCAAGTAATAGGCTTGACTCTGGATATTTAGAAGACATATGTGGCAGGAATAGAAATATTCACCAAATATTCCACATGTTCTGTATGTTTTCTAGTACTCATGCAGTTAGGCAGAGTCTCACAATTTATTCTAAGCTTGTGACATGCATTCCATTTAGGCTAAAGCATAGAAGTATGAGTTCCCGGGCTTCTCTTCCCCTCTATGAGTGACACGTTGAATTGCAGATGGTGCAGCTCTGCTCAGTGTAGATTCCTGAGACCCTATGTGGAGTAAGTCCCATGCCAAACTGTGTTGGGCCTGCAGCATATTCATTAGGCCAGCCCATGTTGATTGGAAAATGAACACTTGTTGCATTAAGGCACTGGCATTTAGAGGTTAATTTGTAATGCACTATATCTAGCGTGTCCTAATTAATAATAAGATTAGTACCAATGCTATGATGTGGCCACAGAAAAATTTAAATTTAAAATTTAAAATGATGGAGGTCAATGACACTAATAAAAAAGACAGGCAATAACAAAACATTTTGTAATGTTTGTCATGCAATGGCAAAACATTTGGCAAAATGTCCTCCACAGTAAGTTAGATGGGAAATAACATACCTGATAAACCACAGCTCTGGGGGAAAGGAATGGAAAACAAGATGATAGTAGTGTTTATTTGTGGTCTTTTTTTTTTGCATTTAGTTTGACATTTTACAAAGAAAGAGATAAACTCATGAAGGAATTGACCATTTGCAAGTAAAAATGGAAGAGAATAGAAAAATTCCAAAAATGTATGAACTTGTAATGTTGAAAAATAAATTTGAATGACAATATATTGGCCTTTAGAAAAAATTAGATTAATGGCATGACCTTCAGAACAGTTGATAAAAATCCTTCAGTGGATTAATGTACCACATGACAAACAGCAAATTAAGGATATAATGCACAGAAAAGCATATCGATTACTTAAATATGTCAGGGCAAAAGTAACATTAAAAATTTCTTTCTATGTCTCTATTCTATGTGCCCACCATTAATTGCAGACAAAAGTTTTGGTGTCAAGAAGGCAAATAGCAAACTTGGACCAATTTTTCAAAAGAACTGTATGTTATGGGGGGAGGCTGGCAGTACTAATTACTTTCATTTAAAAATGACAGGCAAATAAATATAAAGTCTACTAAACTTTTGAGACAGTGACAAAGAAATAATAAACTTGGACTAGAACATCTTGGGTCACAATCTTCTATGGATAAGGTGTGGATTACCCCAATGATCACTTTTGTAGGATATGTGGCAAGGAACAATGAACCTTCCAGACCAGTGAACCCAGTGCCAGGGAGAACAATGAATAAGAGGACTCCTCCTACAAAGCAGAATCTAGACCAAATATAAAATTCACCTCTACTCTTAGGCTTGCTGTTCTATATGATGGGTGCCCAGTCGCATTGCAGATTTGGACCTATAACTGATGCATGGCTCCAGCTTTCATCAGACACTGATTATTGTGCACCCTGTATTGGGTGCAAAACTGGAAGAGTGAAATTTTATGCTATATTTTATTAATAGACTTTCATACCAAAAATTTCAACCACCTTTGGTGTAGAGGCTATTGTACATACCAGTGACCCTAGGTTTTGAGGTGACACAGTGACTGGCTAAGACTTTTGTGTCCTCCCAATGGGAGATTGTGAGTGTGTTATAGATGGAGAAGAAAAGAGTAGAGAGATTTTTTTTTTTATTTCCACAAGAATGAAGTATAGCTGAGATTATGATAATCAAAATATTCCAAATGCTGCTCTATATTCCGAGCCTCTATGAAAAAAGAAGGGGTAACGTGGCTAATTATGCAATAAAGAACATGTCAGATCCAAGTGTCTCAAGTCTCTCTTCCTATGCTATAGTGACTAGTGACATTTTCAGTGGTGGAAATTTCCATCAGCTGATGCTGTTGAGGAGTCATGTGAAGCAGTTTTCTACCCCAACTCCCATATATAGCCATATTCCTCATGAAAAAAAAATAAGGCTTGGTTTAATTAAACAATTGAAAATTCTGAGTTAATGTCTTACTGCCACATAATCTGATTTAACCTAATACAAGATGATATATGGAATATAATTTCAAATGAATGGAAAAATGTGAGAATGAAACCAGTGAGTTTCTATGATTACAGAGGAAGTTCATCTCCAGTGAAAGTGATGTGGAAAAGAGTCCAAAATTTGTAATATGGTAGACCTGATTTGAATCTACTCCCTTTTTATATATATATATATTTTTTATTATATTTTAAGTTCTAGGGTACCCTTTCATATTATTAATTCTGTGGGGTTGAACGTGTTATTTAAACTTTTTAGCCTTAATTTCTTCACAGATAAAGTGGAAATAAAACCTACCTTATAGATTATTATAAATATTAATGAGAAAATGTTATATAAGGGGTCTTTTACTATGCAATGGCAATATAAGACCAGCTAGTTCTCCTTTTTTCCCAGCCCTACCATTATTGGATGGACATGGTAAAAATGAAAATAAAAGTCATCAAGTGAAGTATGGGATTGCCACAGAAACTCAACTGCATTTCAGAGAAATGCAACTAACTGAACATACAAAGCTCATCCAACCTCAGAACTCATCAGTAAATGGTTAAAATAAGCATTTATTGCTGAGTTCTGAGGTTGGGTTGAGCTTTGTGTATGTAATGTTTTAGATAGGTAACAGAAATTCTTGCAGCTGCCCAAAACTATCAACTGTGGTGCCAGATTCTAGTGAAATTAAAAGTACATAACTTTGCAGCAATTTTTTTAAAAAGCAAAAATAAAATAAGCAATTAAAAACTCCAAGTAGGTCAAATAGAATGAGTCAGTGGCTAGAAGATTAAGATTAAACCATGAATTTGTCAGTGTATGGACCATGAAGTGAGATCAAGGCTGAGTCTCTTGTGTAAAACTGCCTGTGTTCAAGTCCCAGTTCATCCACTAATTTTAAGCAAGTCTCTATACATCTCTAGTTCTTAGTTTTCTGTATGTGAAATGAGAATGATTGCATCTCCTTCATATGTTGGATGTGAGGAATAACAATACCTGTAAAGCAGGTATCGTACTGCCTGGCAGGTACTCCGTAAATGTTAGTCTTCATTAGTAATATGACCACCATCATCAACATCATCATTATTAATGTTGGATATGGACAATTTAAAGGGCAACTTAAAACTGGGGAGGATTGTAAGGATAAAAAAATGGTAGGATAAAAAAAGAATACGAATCTGGTAGTGTTTAGGAAGGTTTGTAAGCCATCTAAGGTTTAGTTCTCTGATCAAGCATTGCACACTAAACACACAGGTACACTTCCAATCTTCATTCCTATAAGAAGAGTTAATCAAGTTATAGTTGATCATTGAACAACATGGGGTTGGGGTCGCAGACCTTCCATTCAGTTGAAAATTTATGTATAACTTTGACTTCTCCAAAACTTTATTAATAGCCTACTGTTAGCCACAAGCCCTACTGATAACATAAACAGTTGATTAACATATATTTTGTATGGAATATTTATAATATATGGCATTCTTACAATACAGTAAGATGGAGAAGAGAAAATGTTATTATATAAATCATAAGGAAGAGAAAATATATTTACATTTATTAAGTGAAAGTGAATAATCATAAAGGTCTTCATCCTCATTGTCTTTACGTTGAGTTGGGTAAGGAGAAGGAAGAAAGAGAGAAGTTGGTTTTGTTATCTTAGGGATGGCAGAAGTAGAAGAATTGTGGGGGGTGGAAATGGAGTTAGGAGAGGTGGGCACACTTGACTTCAACTTTTGTTGAAAAAAAATCTGTGTATAAGTGGACTGGTGAGTTCAAATCTGTGTTGTACAAAGGTCAACTGTGATAGCACAAAAATTGAAAATTGAATATTGACCTTTCTAAGGTATTGAGAAAACTTTCTACAGTCATTGGGTAAATGTAGTCTTCTGAGACAGCTACTATGATGAGCTAATGATAACCGAATGTTATTTATTAATTAAAGATGGATTTCATTTGTTGATCAAGCACTTCACGTGTTTAATTATTTAATCATTTTATTTTAACCTAGTGAGTGAACACTGTGCCAGGTGCTGGGGATACATCTGAAAAAAGATATGACATTTATCTTGTCCTTCATGGAGCTGAAAACAAAAATTCCAAAAAGAATGAATCACTCTATGATTCTATCATTTCTATTACTGCTCTTCTCACCTTGTTCACTCATGATTTCTTTGATTTCCATGACAGCAACAGCTATCTTTTACCTGAAGGCAGTGACAACATCTTAATCATCCTGATAATAATTGCGCTAAAATATAGCTGGATTAATATCTATATTTTGTTAAGGCTTGCTGAATGAATTAATGAATGAAACAAAATTATTCTCAGAATAACCCTACATATTTACATCCTTAATTTTGTTGGAGGAAAATATATACATACAGAACTTATTTTAATCATTTACTGATGAGTTCTGAGGTTAGGTTGAGCTTCGTGTATATAATGCTTTCAAAATTTAAATAAAATTAATATTTCTTTAGGCTGGGATAGGTCCAATTTTACTTCTCATAGTATGTTTCTTGCCTGTATGCAGGTATAGGATGTCTGGATATCTTTCCGATCTTACAGAGAGTCAAATGATTTCATAACTTTTGGGTTGTATATATTATAACAAGGAGATTGGCAAACCTACACTGAACTCTCACTTTTACTTTTAAATTAAATTCCAAAAATTGGCCTTGCCCATATACATTGAGAGTTTTTCCTTTGAGTATATGATAACTTCAACATATATTCAAGAATGCTGTACAATCATTCCTTCCCCTGAGATACCCTCACCTACTTTGGGCAGGACCAGAGCTGTGCTAAGAGTACAGCTCAGGTTCTAGAGAGATGTATCTGGAGCACAAATTCCTATCCAAGGCAACTGAAGAGAGTAAGTTTGGATACGCAATCCAAAGAAGCCAGAGTAATGGATCCAAGTTAGCTCTCTGAGATCAAGAGCTGAGTACAACAAAATATCACCTCATAATATGGAGACCCACGTTCTAATCTGAGCTCGACTATTTATAATCTATGTTATATGTAACAAATGACTTAGCCACATTGAGAATCAGTGTTGTACCTTGTTGAATTTGTTAGGACAGAGGCTCCCTGTATTAGTCAACCTACTGTACCCTTCCCTGGTGAATATACCTACTTACTATAGTTCTTCTCTTAAAACTACATAGATATTTCCATTATAGCTGTGTTTTCATGTTGTATTTCTAAATCAAACATTGAAACCAACATTGATATGTACAACCAGTAAGTACATGAAATTGTATGTCCTTTCTAGAAAATAATTTGAAAATAGCTATAAAAAACCCTTTAAAGTATGTGTACCTTTGACCCAATCATCTTAATTTTAGGAATCTTTCCTCACAGTTGCTATCAAGAGCTTTTTTATACCAGTATTTTTACTATAGTAGTATTTATAATTTGAAAAAGCAGGTACAATTTAAATTTTCAATAGAGGAAAGATGTGGATACATGACAGGAAAGTATACAGCCATCAAAATTCATGTTTTCACATAATATTTGAAAATATGTGGAAATATTGACATATAATATTACAGGAAAATAGTTTGGTATTACAGATATTTTAATCCAAGTTTTGCTTATGTGTCTATACATTTTAAATATACATTTATGCAAATATTAAATAAGGTATATATCGAAATATTAAGGTATGTACCTGTTACAGGCAGCATTGTGTCCCCCTCAGATGCATATGTGCAAGTTCCAACCCCTAGTACCTCAGAATGGTACTATTTTGAGATAAGGTCTTTAAAGAGGTAATTGATTTTAAATGAAGTCATGTGGGTGGGCCCTAATCTAATTAGACTGGAGAAGAGGAGATCAGGACACAAACACCTAAGGAAAAGGCCATGTGAAGACATGAGGAGAAGATGGCCATCTACAAGTCAAGGGGAGAGGTCTCAGAAGAAACTAATTCTGCTGACACCTTGATCTCAGGCTTCTAGCCTCCAGAATTGTCAAAAATAAACTTCTGTTGTGAAGCCACGCTGTGATATTTTGTATTTTTTTTTTTATGGAAGCCCTAACAAACTGATATGGTACCACTGGGAAGGACTTATGAATGGCTTTTATTTCCTTTTTTATACATTTCTATGTAGCTACCAGTATTTTTATGTTGAGCTTAAACAATAGGTCCAGGCACTGTTTCCTCAGAGCCATGAGGCTTTCTTTTTCTTTTTCTTCTTGTAGAATAATTGGGTCCAGATCACACTTTTGTAAGCCGTTATCTATGTATGTATCTTCCCTACATAACTGTGAGTTTTGTTCAAATAAACTGTGTAACTCCTTTACCTAGTATTCAAATTAGCACACATTAGAGAGCCCCAGACGTTTTTGGAATGAAATGTAGACTGCACTCATTTTAAATGTGTGGAGCCTGCTCTCTCACATTTTAGGAGCAGTTTGCTCTGTAGCTGTGATGAGGATTTCTGAGTGTTCCCATCACCTCTGAAAAGCATCATTTCTCAGTGCTAAGCTGAGACTTCCCTTTATAGGGAAAAATACACTGTGTTCTTTGGGGTTCATAACAGTGTTGACTGGTTTTTGCTCCAACTTTCCATTAGGAAGTCCTCTGCTCCCACCTCTTTATAGTCTATTTTCTCTCCATCCTCCTTCCTTTCACACACAGTCTTTGTCCACACATGGGTCAAAGAATGGGTCAAAAATACTTTTGAGCTCAATAAGAAACTGCTACATATAAAAGACTATTGATCTAAACTTCAGAGTAAAGGAGAGTAGAAGGCGAAAGAATGGGTTTCCTTGTTTATTTAGTGAGGGGAAAAAGAAAGGGAGCTGGAAAAGAAGGAGGAAGTAAGAGGACAGGTAGCAATAAATTCTCGCCTCCCTCATTTTAGCCACTTTCCAGAAGTGAAATTGGTCTATTTTTCTGGAAGGGGCAGGAAAGCCTTGGTGGTTTGAAGTCAATGCTAGCCCTTATTAACTGAATTTGTTCTTAAGAATGTCATTATTGTAAGACATCAACACTTTTTTAGTTACTTTTGAGTATTTACTAAGTCCAAGGGACATTACATATGCTACTCCTAATCCAGAAATCATCCCAGAAAAGTAGCAATATTACCCTTAAAGAACCTGCTTTCCAAAGGTTAATTTTCTTACCTGGGATCACAGGAAAATGTCTCTGAGAGAGGCAATTGTCTTACTGAAAGTTCCTCAGATCTTCCCAAGAATGGGTTCCAACAAAAAGACATCACATTTATTGGAGGTCTAATATGACAGAAATTTCGTATACACAATATTGTTCAATTTGTTCAATGTCACTAGCAGGTAAGAGTTAGCATCATGATCTTACATGGCAGAAAGTGGAGGCTCACGAAGGTGGAGTAAACTGACAAATGAACATGATATTACAAAATGAAGCTGAGATTTAAATCTATTTCCATCTTATTCTGAAGGAAGAAGTCTAAATAAAGAATCTGAGGTTTTTATTAAATAGTAAAAGAGTACCCTCAAACAGAAAGAGAAAAAAAAAAAAAGAGTGTGGTAGGCCCTATGCTATCACTGTCTCCACTTCAAAAAATTCCTCCTGACTCAGATTAAGGGCAATCCCATATTGTTAGCATGGGAGTGAAGCTAACACACATTTTACTTTCAAGAAGTTGTGCTGCTCTGCTTTTAAATGACAGGAGAAAAGTAGAGACAAACCCAAGTCATATATTAGTAGCATCATTTTCTCAATTGCGGAGCAAATAAGAATCGGACATTCACTGTTTTCTAGGTGATACTTTGTCTATAACTAACCAGTCCAACATGGTAGCCACTGACACCATATTGTTATCTCATAGCATGAAAATTAAAATTAATTATAATTAAATAAAGTTAAAAATATCAGTTTCTTAAATGCACCAGCCATATTTCATACATTGAATAATCACATGTGCACAATGGCTACCATATTGGATGGTGCAGGTAGGAAACATTTTTATCACTGCTGAAAGTTCTATTGGACAGAAGTCATCTACATTAATAGCTTAGAAAGAATTACAGCTTCCTCTTTGCCACAGGGTATATACTACAAACAGCTATTGTGTTAAACAAAAGTTGTCTTTAGGTTCTTGCTTATTAATTAATCTCTATTTGCAAAGGATAATTTTTCAAGCTTGACAATGAGTCCTATTGTTAGATAAATGAATTGCACGAAGTAACCCAAGCAAAAATCATGGGTCAAGACACTCATATTCATCTTTATTTGATGAAAATCACAATCAATGAAAGAATTAAAAAACGAACAGGTAAATTATGGATATTTTACATGGCTTTCATTTATTTGTTTTTGTTTATTCTTGCAAGTAACACACATTCAGTTTCTGCTATTGATGACAGGTACTGCAGAGTGTACAAAAGAATGCTTTCAAAGTTTTCAGAATCTGGGAACAGAAATAGAGATAGACAACTTTATCTGAAACTCAGTGAGCTAAACGCCAGAATAGCAGTATGCAGGCAATTTGTTCATAGCACGAGTTTTTTTCTGGTAGCCTGATCCCTGGCTTATCTACATAACAGAAGAGAGGGAGAGAGAGAGGGAGAGAGAGGGAGTTAGACAGAAAGAGAGAGACAGAGAGCAGGTGCTGAACTGAGTACTGTTGGAGCAAAAGGGTGACTCTCCTGCTGATTCTGTTTTCCAACCCAGATCTATATACCACCCTTCCTTGTCTTACTCTTTGCAAGGAGGGAGGCTGACCGCAATGGACTGTATCACCTGAACACTCTGGGCTTGACCATTAGAAATTACCTACAGGAAATCAAAGGTCAGGAGAGGAGAGAGGTTAGGTTTTTCTGCTCTATCTCCAGCAGGAGCTGGAACTATTACAGTTCCCAGATCTAACTCTCAGGTGGAGCTCCACAGCCAGTCTCTTACCCTGGTGCTTTCAGCTGTCAGGCTTCCCACTATCTATTAGGTCTGAGCGTTTCATCATTTCTTTTCATTCCCTGAACTCTACCCACCCCTCTGTAAATAGTCCCTTCATGAAAGCCTCTTTATTTGAAACATCTGGAATAAATTCTGTGTCCATCTGGGACCCTGACTTAGTACAGCTAAGGAAGAGAACTTTGAAAGAAAGAATTGTTTTAAAAGGATTTCAAAGAGCTGGTCTTACATCATGTCCTGATGCCTTTGGGGTTATAGGATTAAATGAAGAACTTCAATGAGGTTACAAGATTTGTATTCTATTTTCCATTTCCCTACCCTCCATTCCTGTTCCCCAGAGATAACCTTAGTGAAGGGTTTCTGTATAGCCTTCTAAATATTCTACATTGCAGGCTTTTTGAAACACACTGAGGAAAAGGAAGTCTGTCTCCTTCTTGTTAGAGAGGAGAACAGTAGTTACCATCATAAGATTTCCTCATCTGATGGCACTAGTGGTTCCCAAAAGGTGATCCCATGATGAGCAACACCAGTATCACCTGGGAACTGGTTAAATCTGCAAATGTATAGGCCTTGTACCAGACCAACTGAATCAGAACTCTGGGGGTGAGGTCCAGAACTGTGAATTTTTATTAAGCCTGCAGGTGACTGTATTGCACACTCAAGGTTGAGAACCAATGGGCTACACATTGCTTTTATATAGCTCTTCTGCTCACTCATCTGAGGGTCATTGCGGCCCCATACAGAGTTGGATTACCTCAGGACACCTCATCAACTGCTTGGAGCAGCCATTGTGTGACAGTGATAGGTGAACAAATTTAAGTCACTGGGATGTAAATATTCACTTCTCTGTTTACACAGGAGATTGAGAACATATCTATACTTGTATCATCATTTGTGCTCTTTTTGTGAATTACATTTTTATATCTGTTATCTAAGTTGTCATTGTTAATATTAGGAGTCTTTTCTGTTTATCTAGAGATACATAATTTTCCTACTACGTGTTTTTCAAAAAACATTCTCCCAATCTGTTACTTGTCCTTTAACTTTTAAAATGGTTTAGTTTTAAAATAAAAACCTAAAAATTAAGTTTTTATTTTGTCAAGGCTGACAATCTAAAATTTATAGGTTCTTGGTTTCTTGACTGGCATAGAATTGTTTCCCCTTCAAAATAATAAACATGCTCTCTAATACTTTCTCCTTTATATGTAATTATTAGTTTAGTTTTATCTTGTTTAGATCTTTATTCCATATATGAATTTACCATTGTATGATATTATTTATGGATATAAAGCCTTTATTTTGCCAAATGTTCAATGACTTATTTTATATCTTTAGATATTTCAAATTTTCTTTACTGATTTGAAATTTCACTATTATGATATACTAATTCTTTATACATAGAATGAGTTTTCCTGAGATCTCATCTTTTTGTTATTTTATCTGATAGATAAAAATTCTTTATTATTTGTCTGTCTTGACAAATATTATTTTGACTTATGTTTAAATATGATTTTTTAAATTGCCATATGCTGGTCTTTTGTTTATTATAATAATTATTTTCTTGGTAATTTAAGTTTTTCCATAGGCATATATTACAGGAAGTAGCAAATGTTCAATTCGCAATAATTCTCTTTTGTTCTTTATTGCTATTTTTTATTGCAGTTCATTTTTGTGTGCTGAATAAAATAAACACTTTATACTTTTGTGCATAGCATGTGATTATACAATTTTATTCTTTTTTTCTTTATATGTTTCCTCTATGGTCAGGGATTACTATTTTTTAATACCTTGAATTTTATTTGAATGCCTGGGAATGCTTGATTCCTTGTATTTATGAACAAAGGCCAAGTTGGATTAGCTGAGAAGTTTTTGCCAAACGTGTCTCATTAGGCTTAGTTCCTCAATTTGTAGGTTGACTTTGGGTTCTGGGTAGTTTTTTTTTTTTTTTTTAATACTTTAAGTTCTAGGGTACATGTGCACAACGTGCAGGTTTGTTACATAGGTATACATGTGCCATGCTGGTGTGCTGCACCCATTAACTCATCATTTATATTAGGTATATTTCCTAATGCTATCCCTGCCCCCTTCCCCCACCCCAAAACAGTCCCCAGTATGTGATGTTCCCCTTCCTGTGTCCAAGTGTTCTCATTGTTCAATTCCCACCTACGAGTGAGAACATGTGGTGTTTGGTTTTTTGTGCTTGTGATAGTTTGCTGAGAATGATGGTTTCCAGCTTCATCCACGTCCCTACAAAGGACATGAACTCATCATTTTTTATGGCTGCATAGTATTCCATGGTGTATATGTGCCACATTTTCTTAATCCAGTCTATCATTGATGGACATTTGGGTTGGTTCCAAGTCTTTGCTCTTGTGAATAGTGCCCCAGTAAACATACGTGTGCATGTGTCTTTATAGCAGCATGATTTATAATCCTTTGGGTATAAACCCAGTAATGGGATTGCTGGGTCAAATGGTATTTCTAGTTCTAGATCCTTGAGGAATCACCACACTGTCTTCCACAATGGTTGAACTAGTTTACAGTCCCACCAACAGTGTAAAAGTGTTCCTATTTCTCCACATCCTCTCCAGCACCTGTTGTTTCCTGACTTTTTAATGATCGCCATTCTAACTGGTGTGAGATGATATCTCATTGTGGTTTTGATTTGCATTTCTCTGATGGCCAGTGATGATGAGCATTTTTTCATGTGTCTGTTGGCTGCATAAATGTCTTCTTTTGAGAAGTGTCTGTTCATATCCTTCGCCCACTTGTTGATGGGGTTGTTTGTTGTTTTCTTGTAAATTTGTTTGAGTTCTTTGTAGATTCTGGATATTAGCCCTTTGTCAGATGAGTAGATTGCAAAAATTTTCTCCCATTTTGTAGGTTGCCTGTTCACTCTGATGGTAGTTTCTTTTGCTGTGCAGAAGCTCTTTAGTTTAATTAGATCCCATTTGTCAATTTTGGCTTTTGTTGCCCTTGCTTTTGGTGTTTAGACATGAAGTCCTTGCCCATGCCTATGTCCTGAGTGGTGTTGCCTAAGTTTTCTTCTAGGGTTTTTATGGTTTTAGGTCTAACATTTAAGTCTTTAATCCATCTTGAATTAATTTTTGTAGAAGGTGTAAGGAAGGGATCCAGTTTCAGTTTTCTACATATGGCTAGCCAGTTTTCCCAGCACCATTTATTAAATAGGGAATCCTTTCCCCATTTCTTGTTTTTGTCAGGTTTGTCAAAGATCAGATGGTTGTAGACGTGTGGTATTATTTCTGAGGGCTCTCTTCTGTTCCATTGGTCTATTATCTCTGTTTTGGTACCAGTACCATGCTGTTTTGGTTACTGTAGCCTTGTAGTATAGTTTGAAGTCAGGTAGGCATGCAGAAAAGAACTCCCTTTAGGGTATAAAGTCAAGAAGGAGTCTGGAAAATGTCTTAGATGCTGATATGGTTTGGCAGTATCCCCACCCAAATCTCATCCAGAATTGTAATCCCCATAATCCCCATGTGTTGTGGGAGGGACCCAGTGGGAGGTAATTGAATCATGGGGGCTGGTTTCCCCATGCTGTTCTCATGATATCCAGTGAGTTCCCAAGGGATATGATGGTTTAGTAAGCATCTGGCATTTCCCCTGCTGGCACCCGTTCTCTTTCCTGCTGCCCTGTAAATTGGCACCTTCTGCCATGATTGTAAGTTTTCTGAGGCCTTTCCAGCCATGTAGATCTGTGAGTCAATTAAAAACTATTTTCTTTATAAATTACCAAGTCTCGGGTATTTCTCTACAGCAAAGTGAGAATGGACTAATAAAGATGCCAAACTCAAAAATCTTTAATTTGCAGTGAGGGCAGGGGTTGAGCACTTTCGCACATTTAAATCTGGAGAGAGGTACCTTGTTAGAATCCTCCCTTTCCACTCATTATTTTTATTTATGAAGTTTTGAAGTCATGGTACCTTGCTTTCCTCTTTAAAACTGAAAGCCTATGTAATGTTTCCTTCCCACCTTGCCTTCGTCAACCGCACTTGGTTTAAGAGCTTCCCTGGAAGACCTATCCTATTTGTCACAGACACACTCCTGAGGATAGAAAGTGTTTTCAACATTACAAGCTTTTCAAAGGCAGTTAATTGTGCAGACAGAATTCTAAATGTTCTATAATACATTCGTTTCCATAAAGCAATCTATTAGGGTTATTAATTGGGATTACTTCAAAGCTATATGTTGATTGGGGAAGCAATTATCTTCTCTAGAACCTGTACTTGCCCCTGAGCTTGGAGTGTTCATTTTCTGTGTGTTTTTCTCCTGTATTTATTTTGTCTAGTGCTTTTTTCCTTTACTCTGATTTTTATAATTAATCAAATCTCCTGGTTTTCTGATTTTTCTCAAAGTTTTTGTCTGATTATCTCCCACACTATCAAGAACTACACATCGCTCATATCTGTTAGATTTTCTGTGAGATTGTGGGATAAGAAGTAAAGGAATATGCTTAGTCTTCAATCTTGAAATAGACATCATTTGTGTCTTTACCTTTCTGAAGTTCAACCTTAGCTCCTAGATCCCATGGTTCTCCATCTGTGCCCCTTTAGAAAAGGAGTAGAGTAACCAAGTTCAGGAACACTATTCTTAGAATATGAATCCAGCCCCTATTTGGATATCAAGGTGAACGGGGCTGACTCGTTCTGGCTCTTGTGACATGGTTGTCTTTGGCAGAATGATGAAGGAAAAGTAGAAGTCAAACACATTAACTGATAATATTTATTTAATATTTTACTCATATCATGCTATTAGATTCTTACAATAAACCTTCTAGATAAGTATCAATTGCAGTCTCATTTTACTTACGAGGAATTTTGATAAAACTGTCCAAGGTCATTCATCTAGGTTAGGGGAACTAGGAGTCATGCACATGCATTTCTAGAATCCGCATCCTGAGCTCTTTAACCTCTAGAAATGCTGCCTGGTATCAGAGAGCTTAGATTTTCTTTGCTGCCGATCTATTTTCACATTTTTTGTGCATTTTCACTCTCCTCCATTTCACCAAAACTATATTATCAGAGTTGTTGGCTCATTAATTCAGTACTTTTGATGTGGAGTTCTACAGTTCCATTCATTCCCCCGTGATACGAATGCTGGAAGTCCACGGACCACACTCTCTGGCAAGGCTTTAAGTGATTACCCAGGCTACTTTCATCATGCCTTATACAATTGAGCTTTAATAATCCCCAGAAGCTTTAGAACCCCTGGTTACCACATCTTAACCCAAAATCACTATTATCTTACTCAAGATTTCAGTCGTCTTAAAGCATTCCTAAAAATGTTGGCCTAAATTCAACAACTTTTTCTGTGTTCCCAACTACCTCTCAGAATGACCCTAACAGGTATGTAGATGTCTTCCCCATTTTCCTTTAGTGGAAGCTAATTTTTGTTTCATATCATACATACCGCATGGCCTCTAGGTTCTTTTCACCGCTGTTTCAAGGCTACGTATTTTCCTACCCCCATCAAAACTTACAGATTCTTAGAGCTCCATGTCATTACAAGTTAACATTTGGTAGCCTCCCTTCTTGCTTCTGTCTACTAACCTTTATTGATTTATGAGTTCATGATGCATTGTTTTCTCTGTCACTAATTATATTCCAATCTTGATAACTTCAAGATCCAAACAAATGATTTGCCAAACCTTAGGAGCTAGACTTCCTCTTTTAGTATTCTTTTCTGCCACCCCACTATAACCAACAACCTCTGTTGATCTAGTCATGCAGAGTAATTGCACCTCCTCCAAAATCATGATGATAAGCATGCTCATGTCTAGATACAACCTCTGATCCTTCTGGAGGGTAATTATGGTAGTTAGTCTAGTCTGCAAGTTCTATGCAATGAAGGCTAAAGCACAATGTGATTCTTGCCAGAGTCAGAACACATCAAATTTAAAGAAGTGTGCAGAGTTGAAATTAGGGTGATGCAGAAAGCCAGAAAAGGAAATCCACATGGGTCATCAAAATAAATCAGTGCTCCAGAATTAGACTTCAGTGTTGGAGACTAGAAAATCTTCAATAGAGGATAATGCAAACAAAGAGCAATAGATCTGATAGGCAAACAGACAGATGCATAAATAGTGGCAAATAATCATCCAGAGGATGTTATCTCAGCTGGTTTCCATAGATGATTTGATTGATTTCAGGGGTCATGGGTTGAGCAAATACCTATCAGGGTTACCCAAGGATCAAATGCAAGTATGGCATGGATGTAGAGGAGCTTTCCAATGCAAATGCCAGTTGTTCCTGTACTCTTGATTGAAATGACCCATCTTGATCTTATACAAAGTACTAATACTGTGGGATTTCTACTTTCTCTTGAAATCAAGGCAAATTTTTTTCCTTGCTTCTTCAGTGGTTAAGAGAATTATGCAGAAACTAGCTGGGGTTGGTTAATTATTCAAACGTGATTATTATACATAAGCAGCATATTTGTTCTGTTTCTATTTGTGCATACATATTTATTTTTTATGATCCTACTTCCCATCAGTGAAGAAAAGAGAATACAATTAGCACATCTGTCCCATTCGTTGTGACAAAATATGAACTTAAGATCTGTATGGTGATTTAGGGAAGCATATTCCTGGGAGTCCATGGTGAGCCTCATGGAATAAAATTTCAGTAATAAATACAGTTGTGGGAATCTGCATTAAAAAACAGCACTAAAAATAAGACATGAAAGAGTGCTATGGAAGCTTTTTAAAGATAATTTGAACAGAAATAGAGCCAACCCTGGAGAGGTGGAAGATTGGGACAAATCATGTGTGGGAAGGGGGTGGAGAGAGACAGAACAAGAATGAGGCTTTTCCCTGACATATTCCAAAATATTTGAATGCTAGTACCTTGAAGGAATCATCAAAAGGCTGTTTAAGGTAGCAGGAAGGGAGGAGAAAGCAACAAAGTGTAAGCATTTTTTATAGGCAAAATATACACAAAGTCACAAAGGTTTGTATAGCTTTGGAGAAAGTAAGGAAAGGGGACATACTTAAATGTGTTGGAGCTAATTGTATTTGCTAATTTTGCTTTCAGAGCAGCCAGGAGGAGTGCCCAGAGTTAGTGCTGGGCTCTTTGCCGCCTCATAATAAAACATATATTCCTGGGAATGCAAGAATACATGCCAGACACCCCAAGTTCTTTTTGTTATCAGATATAATTAGGAATGGGACATCTTTTGAGGTTTCTTTCAACATATATGTATTGATTGCTTTCCCTGGTGTGACTGTGACATACACTAGTAACATGCAACAAGAATTTAGGAAGGATACAAATAAACAATATTAAACCAAATAGATGTATCTTTAGATTTTACTTTCCTCTAATGCAACTGGTACTGGTCTTCCATTTGCAGTACAAATATAAATATGGTTATGAAAACAAATGTATTTACATAAAGAATGGTTTATTATTTCTAAAAATAATTACCTATGTAATGTTAGGTTAGCCTACATCTAGGCAAAATTTGTGAAGGAGGTGCTCAAGTGACTGACATTTGGAAATCACTGAAGTATAACATGATAAGGCAGAAAGAAAAGCTGAAAATAAAAAAAAATGTGAATGCTCAGATTTGCTAATAATTGCCTGTACATTTGGGCAAGTGATTTAACCAGTATAATTAACCTCAATTTTCTTTCTTTTATTTCCTTGAATATGAATAACTAATCACAATTTAGCTAATTAACAGTATTTTGTGAGAATTCAATGAAAAAAATATATATACATATATAATTGTTATCTAGTGTTATAATGTGGAGGTACTGTGGATATATCCTAAAAGGGTCCTAATTGAGTCATGCTTTTGGATAATACCCCTTATGTTGAGTGTGGCCACCATGACTTGCTTCTAAACAATCAAATATGACAAAGTGCTCCCCATATTAGGTTTGGTTCCATAAGTTCTAGCAGAGACAGAGAGAAAGAAAGAGAGAGAAAGAGATTCTCCTATTGTTCTGGAAAAAGCAAAAAGCCAAAAAGCCATGCTGTGAACTGCCTATGGAGAGGAACTTCTAGGATCTGAGGGTCATCCCCAACCAACAGCCAATAAGAAGCTAGGGCCCTAGGGAATATAGTCACATGGAAATAAACCCTGCCCACCAACTTAATGAGCTTAGAAGCAGATTCTTTCCTAGTTGAGCACTGATATCATTTGGCTGTGTCCCTACCCAAATATCATCTTGAATTTTAGTTCTCATAATCCCACATGTTGTGGGAGGTACCAGGTAGGAGGTAATTGAATCATGGCTGTGGTTACCTCCATGCTGTTCTCATAATAGTGAGTTATCACAAGATCTGATGGTTTTATAAGGGGTTTCTCCCTTCACTCAGCTCTTGTTCTTCTCCCTCCTGCCATCATGTGTAGAAGAACATGTTCGCTTCCCCTTCCACCATGATTGTAAGTTTGCTGAGGCCTCCCCAGCCATGTGGAACTGTGAGTCAATTAAATTTCTTTCCTCTATAAGTTACCCATTCTCAGGTATATTTTTATTAACAGTCTGAGAACAAACATACAGTAAATTGGTACCACAGAGAGTGGGGTGCCTCTATAAGGATACATGAAAATGTGGAAGCAACTTTGGAACTGGGTCATAGACAGATGTTGGAACAGTTTATAGGGCTCACAAGAAAACCAGAAAATGTGGGAACTTCCGAGAGATTTGGAGGGCTCAGAAGACAGGCAGATGTGGGAAAACTTGGAACTTCCTATAGACTTGTTGAATGGCTTTGACCAAAATTCTGATAGTGATATGGACAATGAAGTCCAGGCTGAGGTGGTCTCAGATGGAGATAAGGATCTTTTTGGGAACTGGAGAAAAGGTGATTCTTGCTATGTTTTAGCAAAGAGGCTGGCAGCATTTTGCCCCTGCCCTAGACATCTGTGGAACTTTGAACTTGAGAGAGATAATTTAGGGTATCTGGTGAAAAAAATTTCTAAGCAGCAAAGCTTTCAAGAGGTGACTAGGGTGCTGTTAAAATCATTCAGTTTTATTTATTCACAAAGACACAGTTTGGAATTGGAACTTATGTTTAAAAGGGAAGCAGAGCATAAAAGTTCAGAAAATTTGCAGCCTGACAATGTGATAGAAAAGAAAAACCCATTTTCTGAGAAGAAATTCAAGCCTGCTGAAGAAGTTTGCATAAGTAATGAGGAGCCAAATGTTAATACAAGACAATGGGAAAAATGTCTCCAGGGCATATCAGAGATCCTCATAGCAGCCCCACCCATCACAGGCCCTGAAGCCTAGGAGGGAAAAAATGGGGCAGACCCTGGGTTCCCCTTCTTTGTGCAGGCTGGAGACATGGTGCCCTTCATCCCAGCTGCTTCAGCTCCAGCTGTGGCTTAAAAGGGGCCAAGGTAGAGCTTGGACCATTGCTTCAGAAGATGCAAGCCCAAAGCCTTTGCAGCTACCACATGGTGTTGGTCCTCTAGGTGTGCAGGAGTTAAGAATTGAGGTCTGGAAGCTTCCATCTAGATTTCAGAGGAAGTATGAAAATGCCTGGATGTCTAGGCAAAAGTTTGCTGCAGGGGCAGAGACCTCATAGAGAACCTCTGCTAGGGCAGTGCAGAAGGGAAATGTGGGGTGGGAGCCCCCATACAAAGTCCCCACTGGGGCACTGCTTAGTGGAGCTATGAGAAGAGGGTTACCATCCTCCAGACCCTCTAGAATGGTAGATCCACCAACAGCTTATATCATACACCTGGAAAAGCTGCAGACACTCAACACCAGCCTGTGAAAGCAGCCAGGAGAGGGGCTGTACCCTGCAAAGCCACAAAGGCAGAGTTGCCCAACGTTGTGGGAGCCCACCTTGTATCAGCATGCCCTGGATTTGAGACATGAAGTCAAATGAGATCATTTTGGAACTTTAAGTTTTAATAACTGCCCTATTGGATTTTGGACTTGCAAGAAGCCTGTAGCCCTTTGTTTTGGCCAATTTCTCTCATATGGAATGGCTGTATTTACCTAATGCCTGTAACCCCATTGTATCTAGGAAGTAACTAACTTGCTTTTGATTTTACAGGCTAACATGGGGAGGGCACTTACCTTGTCTCAGATGAGACTTTGGACTGGGAATTTTGGTTAATGTTGGAATATATTAAGAATTTGGGGGACTATTGGGAAGGCATGATTGTGTTTTGAAATGTGAGGACATAAGTTTTGGGAGGGTCCAGGTGTGGAATGATATGGTTTGCTGTGTCCCCACCCATCTCATCTTGAGTTGTAGTTCCCATAATCCCCACATGTCATGGGAGGGACCAGGTGGGAAGTAAATGAATTGTGGGGGCGGTTACCTCCAGGCTGTTTTTGTGATAGTGAGTGAGTTCTCACAAGATCTGATTATTTTATAAGGAGCTTTTCCCTTTGCTCAAGTCTCATTCTTCTCTTTCCTGCCATCATGTGAAGAAGGACATGTTTGCTTCTCCTAGCACCATGATTATAAGTTTCCTGAGGCTTCTCTAGTCATGCAGAACTGTGAGTCAACTAAACCTCTTTGCTTTATGAATTACCTATCAGCATGAGAATGGACTAATACAAGCAACCAGATGAAAACAGGGATTGAATGACTCTGATTCTCCTTATGAGTCCCTAAGCAGAGGAAACATCTAAGCCATGCCTAGACTCTTGAATCACACAAATTGTGAGATAAATGTATGCTATTTTAAACCATTACATTTGCAATAGTTTATAAGGCAACCACTGAAAACTAATATGAGTCAAGGGAAACTGCTTTGGCTGTCTAGGTATGTAGATAATACTTATTGTATTATTGTATTTTCTATACACACTTAGAATTACTATTACTTTTGTTTTGGTTAGGTGAACCCTACAAATCTGAGAAAGTCATGAGTATTTTGAGAAGCTATCCTAAAGACCTAGGATTGATTTGTAAATATGGACAACTAACAATTATTGTGATTTTTCCCAGTGTTCTAAGCAGAATATCTGGGTCTTCACATTTATGATTTTGGTTCATTCCCATAATGTCCTAGAGAGGGATATGATTATATTCCTTTTTCATATGAGGGAACTTGCCTAATTTCATAAGTATTCTGCAGTATTAGTCTTTTCTTACTGGCCTATATTGATTAGTCCTGCATCTTTTAGCAATGGAGCCTGTAATTAGGCCCAACCAAAGGACTGCATTCTGCTCAGAATGATGATTAGTTCAGGTTCAGTCATATGGCCTATAGTGAGACATTCTTAGGAATAGCATAGAAGCTACCAGAATTAGAATCTGTATTTTCTACTAGACATGTATTTATAAGGCTTTCAGAACCAGGCCCTTCCATAGACAGTCTAAGAATAGATCTCAAAACAATGGAAGGTAGATTCCAGGAGGGGCAAGATACCAGGTCTTGATGAGAATATTTGAGCCCCCAAATCCAGGTGTGTCCAAAATCAGAACTAGGCTTTATAATTTCTAGGCTGTATAATTACATGAACCAATAAATGCCCTTTCTTGCATTTAGATTTTTGTCTTGGACAAAGAGGAACTAATTTATATAGTTAATACAAAAAAGAGCTGAGTAGGGAAGCTAGGTGTGCCTAATCACAAATTCAGAGAAGATGAGAGAGCTGTATACACTTATTTGCCAGAACCTCTCTACCCTTGCCCCTTTTTGTCATATGTACAGTGATGAAACAGAAAGAACAACAGAATGAGATATAAAATACCCGGGTTCTTACTTAAGGAACACACCTGGTATGGGATTGAGTCAGGACTGTAATTTAGATCTTCTAACTCCCAGCCCAGTGTAATTTCTGCTACATTACAAAGCAACATGGAAAGTTACCAGAAGGAAAAATCACACTCCCATTCTCACTTTTCCAGAGGAGAAGACTAAAGACCAGATGATTAAAAAGAGCATTATTTTACAGTCTTTGTTAGAAAGTTTGGTGAGGCTGTGGGAATGACGACAACACAAAGCCCTTAGAGATTTTGTATTTCTTCCAATTTGGACTTAACTTTTTCCTTTCATTTCCTCTTCATTAATGCTACTATTTGAGACAAGATGTGGAGACTATCAGTCAGTGGGATAATTTAGGCACAAGCACCTAGAATATTTACTGTTTTAAAAAAATCAACATGTTTGCCTATCATCTGTGGGCCTGGTGGGAGGCACATTGGTCATAAGTTACAGATAGCTACATTCATTAACAACAAAATGATGATTACTTTGGAAAACCAATGAGCCACATTTCAATTAGCTTAATAATTTAACTTCTAAATGTTTTTAGCCTTTAAAAAAAACCGCAAAATTCTTTGCTTGTGTCAATCAAAACTAGTATGGTTATAAATTTTGTTAAAAATACAAATATGTCTCTTTTTTCTTTCTAAAATTATTGGAAAAAAACAACTCCCATTTTGATCCATGTTTTGAGTTTAATGATCAGCCTAGTTAGGTTTTGTTTCCAAGAAATAATATCATTTAGAGTGGTCCCCAGTGGGGTTTACAAACTATATACCCACCTCTAGCACACAGTATAAACTTTGGAACTGATAGTTATGTCCCAAATCTCTGGAATTAAAATTATCTGATCTGTGTTGTAGAAGGCCCCATTACTTTTCAAAATAAGTCCCAGTTAGGCAAGAGACTGACTTTAATCAGCAGAGCAATGATGTTCTTTGGCACTTTCCTGAGATACTGGTCACTTGTCAATGGAATAGAGTATAACCAGACTAAACATTTAATATTCTCCCTTGTACATCAATGGACTCAATTTCAAAGCATCTTTTTAGTCTTCCTAAGTGGAGACAAATGTGTGTGTGTGTGTGTGTGTGTGTGTGTGTGTGTGTGTGTTGAGAGAGAGACTATAAAGAAAATCAAATGCAAGTAATTGAGCAGCAGGGTTTATTACAAAATTGAAATAGCATGAACAATCTAAGATGCCTTATAACTTGCTATCACGGTGGGGATGATTTACCACTCTTCTCTGCCTTAGTGAGAGCTTCAGGTGGTATGAGAAGAACTAGGTCTATACTGGTGCAGCCAGGAGGTTGGCCAAAGAAGCACTGGCCCAAAGCTGAGTCATTTGGGAGAACTACAGCTTCAGCCATCAACTCCCTGTGGTCAAAGATTGGCTGAGAGGAAGAATTTTAGTGATTATGAGGTATAGCAGATTTTATACCTCGTAATGCTGCTGGTACCTTCTTCAGACCACATTGATACCTCCTTCAGACAACATTGCATCCAGTGGTACCTCCTTCCACTGGTACCACTGGATGTATCCTTCAGACCACATTGCATCCAGTTTCTCAATCTTGTGTGCCCATCCTCCAGCTTCTGCATTTTTTGTGGCTAATTGCTTCAATCTGAAGATTTCCCTTGGACACTTAAACCACTTGCCAATGATACAGCTGGAAGTGACATGGTGCCTTATGTTGGGCGGGGCAATAGCCAATGACTGGCTAGTATGGGAACACAAAATCCAGCTTCTTTGCTTGAGGTAAGATAATAAACTGTAAGGTGGAATATATGCTCTAGAGCTGATCAGTCCAGTACTTGTGGCTACTAAAATTTAAATCAATTAAAATTAAATAAAATTAAATATTGTGATGGTCAATTGCATTAGCCACATTTCAAGTGTTCATTAGCCACATATGGCTTGTGGTTAGCATATTGAACAGTACAGATATAGAACATTTCCATCATCACTCAAAGTTCTATTGGACAAAGCTTCCCTGAAGGAACAGACTAAGTTTGAGACTTCCTCTGTAATTGAAAACTTGTTTAGCAACTTTCCCTTTATGTGGCCTGCCTGCTTTACCCCCATATTGTTTTCTTGTAGGTATGTTTTCTTTACAGATCTTTTGCACCGAAATCCTTGATTCAAGATCAGTTTTGGGGAAACTGATGTCTGACTCAAGATAAGTCAACTGGAAGAAATTTCAGTTTTTTTATTTCTATTCCTGAGTGTTAAATGCCAAAATATACTTTCATTATTCCTTATTTTCTTATCTTATTTCCTTCAAGATAACTCACTTAACTGTATTTCCAACAAAACTGTATTTAAAACAAGAAGCAGAGTTGCAATTCATGGCTGGTTCTTTGCTGAGAACATAGTGCTCCTTGATTTATAATGCGCTGACTTCAGGACTCCAAGAGATGTGCTATACCTAGAACCCTGTGTGTGCATATATAATAGACATCAAATGTGTTTTCTGAGAAGAGAGATTGTTGACTAGTTGCAGGGTAACTATACAGGTCTAGCTGTGAGTTAGGCTTTCACATGCTTTCCTTTAAATTATCTGTAATTAATTGTTTAGTTCCTTAATATTCTATGTCTGTTTTAACCATGTAGCTAGCCTATTTTTCTATTACACATGCACAGACTGAACTAATAGGCCAAATACACTCAGTTGTTGACATCATTGTCATTATAATCATCACCAACCATTTATTGAGTCAGGGCAATATACTGAGGTTTATACAGGCATTATTTTATTCAATACTCATAAGAAGCCTAGAAGCTGGCGCCATTGTTATTACTCTCATTCTATAGATAAACAGAGTAAGGCATATATTGAAGATTTGTAGTAATCATATAGAACACAACTTAATTCCTTTCCACTATGATCCCAATCCATCAGTTTGCCAGGTCAGTGGGAGTGGGGTAGAATCATGATTTTCAACCAATACCATTTGCTCATATTTCAGTCTGTGTCTGTTTTGGCCTACTAGTGCATAGTCAGTAGTAGTGGAGGAGATCAAGCACTTTAGTGAGAATAAGGGCAATGTCTCTTTTCTCTCAAATTGCTTGCCTTATGCTAACTTGGAACGTAAACATCAACAGATTTGGCTCCATTACTTAAAAATAGATATATAGCATTTACTTTGCCTGAATTCTAAAGAGCTGTTATTACTGTTTTAAAATTGAGCTAATTAATACAATACAACTCTGTAATTAGGTTTCCTTTGCCCTAGATATTGGCCAGGCATTGCAGGTTTATTCTAGAAAATGTTCTTCACAGCATTGGGAGAATAATGAGTCTCATTCACTTTTGGCTTGGGCCACATGTGAACTAGTGACCCAGAGGTAGATGGCTCAGAGGCCCATTACCAGCACCCAAAGCCATCTATTGTGACAAGAGTGTTGACGGATCCAGCTTAATGCTGCCCAGATATTATCTCTGAATCCTAAGCAAAAGACAAACTGCAGCCACAAGGCAGACATAAAAGTCTCTTGCTGAGATTTGTAGAAAATGCTGTCATTTTAATTAACA
This sequence comes from Homo sapiens, assembly GCF_000001405.40. Lineage (NCBI taxonomy): Eukaryota > Metazoa > Chordata > Mammalia > Primates > Hominidae > Homo > Homo sapiens. The sequence continues at coordinate 128,107 of NW_017363818.1, forward strand.
TTTCCAAACAATAATAATCATTATTTAGTGCTGCAAAGCCAGCCACACACCAAATGCTAAATTTCTGAGTGTTTTAAAGCAAGAAAATACTCTTCTGGTAAATGGAAAGAAAATTTGGTTTGTAGTTTCTTGACTGGGAATATCAAATCAAAGTGGGGCTTTTTCTTCTTTTTTAAAAATAAAAACTTTGTGACTTATTCTGATGTCATTCTTCCTTTGCTAATTTGCTCCCTGACATGCAATACCTTCACAATAATTCTTACAGTGGATAAAAATTGTATTTTTAACATTGATCTTAAGATCTTGGGCTTTATGGTCCACAAAAATCAAAGGTAAGTGGAAGTGCTTTGGAACTTGGAACACAAAGGAATACAATCGATTTTTATAAGAGATTAATTTTTTTCATGCCAAAGAATGTAGGCAACAATTACACGACTTCCATTCATCAGTCTATCTTCCCATTCCTATAGTTTCCAAACCACTGATTTATCTCATAGATTGATAACCTTATCTCCTGCTGTTCAGCCCACCAAAAGAGATAGTGCTTGGGAACAGAAAGCAAAAGTTCTGACCTCACAGTTGGTCTTTGTTTTGAATCTGGGTTATTTGTTCCTAGTTCTCCCTCCCATCTGTCTTGCTTAACCCTCCCTAATCAGCTATGGGTCTTGATGCCATTCAATAATGTCGCAGCCTCACTGAGCTCTCATGAGCTCATTCTGATTTAGGCAGAGCAATTTCAGACCCATCAGCCAATGGCGTCAAAATCTTAAGAAGAGCTAGAATGTACTTATCTCTTTGCATGTGTGAGGCAATTCTCTAAATCAGTCATTAGAAGGAACCCTGTGAGCACATATTATTATCATCATCATCCTAATTTTACAGAGAAGGAGACTGAGGTACAGAGAGGTTAAGTAACTGGCCCAGAGTCAGGATCTGAACCCAGGCAGTCTGGCCATGCATCTAAGGCTCTCAACCTCTACTTTGCACTTCTCTTCCACTTAGTCATAGGTACGTGCATCTGGCCATTTCTGGGACTTACTTTGATCACCTTCCTACCCAGCAGGTTTCAGATTTTCTTTGAAAACCCCTAGGTGGAGCCAAGTTTTGCATCTGTATTTTACTGTGTTTTTTAGACCTTCATAGGTACTAGGAGTCTTGTCCTGTGCGCTGAATCTCAGCCACTTGACAATTTTTTTAAAAGCTCTACTTGTTTCTCACTACTCTCTAAGGCAAGAGGATTCTGCAGAATTCCAATTGTCCCTCAGCAGCTGACTTGGATCTTGTTTTAAATAGATTGATCACCTAGTACTTTGCCTATCTGTATTTAATATGACATTATTAGTTGAATGGTTTCCACCACCTCTCTTGAGTCTATCTACTTTGCTCCATTTCTACCTTTACATATTGTGTAAGCCACCATCTTTTCTCACCGGGATGACCGCATTAGATTCCCAATGGATCTCTGGGATTAACCTCTCACCTCTCCAATCCATTCTCTATGCTGCAACCGTGTAGTCTATTGAATAAGAAAAGCTGGTCATTTTCATGATTAAAACTTTCATAGCTGCCCATAACTCTTAGGATCAAACCCTAAATCTCTGACATGGGTGGTGAGGCCTTGACTGATAAGAATCCAGCTTTACCTCAATACACTCCATCCCTATGCCATGCATCTTCCTATTACAGAAATTTAACACAAATGCCTTCTGCCTTGAACCATCTTCTGATGATGTAAATGGCTGACTTATCCTTCTGGTCTTTGCTTAACATTTATTTCTTAATAGAATTCTCCCTGTGCTTGCAGATCAGATCAAACCCTTCTTGCATAAGCTCTGGCAGCCCCTTTCTTTTGGGTGCTTAATTATGTATTGAGTACTGTGTGTCAAATATTTATCAGCTGAAAATTGTTAAAACACTATAAGACTCAAGAGCGTTAAGACCTTATTTGTTAGCCTGGGCAACATAGTGAGACCCTGCCTCTATAAAAATAAAAACAATAATTCAGCCTGGCATGGTAGTGCACTCCTGTAGTCTCAGCTACTAGGGAGGCTGAGGTGGGAAGATCATTTGAGTCTGGAAGATCGAGGCTGCAGTCAGCCATGATTGTGCCACTGTAATCCAGCCTAGGTGACAGAGTAAGATCTGTCTTGAAAACACACATGCACACACACAAACACAAACACACACACACTTTATCTGTCTTTTTCACAGCTGTCTTCAGTGTATGTAAACTATACTGCCTGGCCTATAGCAGATGCCAGATAATGAAGGGGTGAATGAATGAAGGCATGGACTGCTACATAAAACCTGCTGCTGTTAGCAGATCAGAAAGCTCCATAAAATATAGCATTTATTGGGCACTTAGTACACACTATAAGTATTATTATGGGATTAAACATTTTTATCTCATTTCATATTCACAACAACCTAATAAGTTAGGTTCTAATATTAACCTCATAATTACAGATGGGTAAATTGAGGCCCAGTGACAAAGCTAGATCTGAATCCAGGTGATGTATAGATGGCCAACTTTTGACTGATAAACCAAATGTTCTTCTCCCCCTCTACACACACACACACACACACACACACACACACACACACACACTGTTTTCCAGCTTAATTGTTTATTCATGATACTCTTGATTCTATGGCTATGGACAGGCTTAGGGTAAAAACAAGGGTCCAAAAAGAAGTTTGTTTGAAGGAAACTTCACGTACTATTCATACTCTTCTTAGTCCCCTCTGAGACCAGCAACAGGAGTGGGGTGGCTGACAGGAGGACGTGAAGAGAGGGAACAAAAATGGGCTTTTGCTTTTCTCTTGAGGCCAAAGTTCTATTTATTAAAATAAACACACAAGCTCTCTTTGGACATTTGTCAAGTGACTTCTCACCTCTCCTTTAGGCCTTTTGAGTAAATATTCTTTGATGTTTCAGACATTTTGTGTGGATTTAGCTCATTAAAGGATCAAATTATATGCAGCATGCTGTGCAGGTAAGGTTGAGATATCAAGAATTGGGCCCGGGTTTTGCCAACCATCTCTCTATCGATTAATTCAAATTTTATATGAAAGTTGAAAACACTCGGTGCCCATGGTTTTTCAATGAAAGTGTAAAAAAATTTTTATTTGTATTATAAATGATGATACTGAGATTTTATATGATAAATATGGTGTTTGAATGAAAAGTATTTATTTGTTATAAACATGTACTTGTTAATTATGAAATCACCAAACTAGGATGCTGCAGAACCTGTTTGTTTTGTCTTGCTTTTTTTTGTTGTTGTTGTTATTCCCTGGGTTAAGTTTTAAAATTCATAATTTGGAAATGATCAAATCATGGCAAACATGCTGAAATTCTTTAACACATTTTAAGATTACAAATTTGTTTAATTCAAGAATGTAAAGCTCAGGTCAGGAGATTTTATTATAGATTCAAGCTTCTAGCTTTGTATTTTAAAAATTTAATAAATTTGGGGGATTTTATTCCTCCACACTGTGAGCCATATTTTCATTTTATGACACCATCTAACTCAGTCACTAGATAAGGCCTTAAAAAATAATCTGACAAGATACACTGAAGTCAGGAAGACAGCCAGATGAATGTGTTGTGCAATTAAATTATATCTAACAAAAGACCAATGGCTTCTCTACATCTGAGAATGATCAGACAACCATATCCACATTTGATTGTTCATCTGTGGGCTGAAGTTTAAGCTACTAACTCAACTTGATCATGTAATGTCATGCGACTTTTACCATCCTTCATACTAAATGCTATCAAAAGTAGATTGTTAGGTTCTTGGCAGATTATATATTTAGCAATCTACAAAATTTCATTCATTAAGGTGTTAGAAGGAATTCTCTTTTTAGTGAAACAAGATACATGCCTGTTAATGCTAGATCTTCATAAGAAACCTTAGCTCATGCATTATAATTTCTTCAAGCCTCTCAGGGTGATTTGAATATGCAATTTTGTGTTTCCCTCAATATGCTATTAAGTTGATGTAGGCAGAAAAGTGGATGCTTTTGTTAATACAATGAATTGGATGATGTATAAAGAGGAGGGATAAAATTAGTTTATACTAATCATGACTCCTTGATAATACATTTGACACCATGTAGTTAGAGAAGGATTCCTTTCTACAACCAACTCTTCCAGGATAATGAAAACAACATTTTAAAAGCATATAGAGGAGTTCTTGCAAGAAGGTAAAATAATACATTATTAAAGGTACTGCAGCTTCTTGATAAAAATTTTATGATAACTGTACAAGTGTTCATCTAACCTTGCCTTTTAGCAATATGGAAACATGAGCTCTGCTTATTTCAAGTTGTAAATTGGTTTCCTCTTATTGTCTCATTTAAACAATCTTTTCCTGAATAGACCCAGAGGTGCCAAATGACTCCAAATTATAAGCTACAGGTTTTTTTTTTTCTCCTGCAGAATTACTGTACCCATGATATTAACACCTTCCACTTTGTAGTAAAGCAACTTGCATTTACAGAGGTTATTATGTTTACTCGAAACAATATGCCAACGGATGATAAATATTAGTGGCGAGAAAGAGAGTCGGAGCACTGAGCACAATCTTAACCGAAAAATACAAGTGTAGTATTTAGAATGTACCATGTGAGGGTGGGGGAGAAAAGAAAGGGAAAAATTTCCAGTTGGCACTTGCATCCATTATAAAACTAACAGAGGTGACTGGTGAAAGCAAAGAGTACTAACTCCAGCCTTTTCTCTCTTCAGATATTGTATTTGCTCCCTTCCTTTCTATCACAGATGCATACAGAAAGAGGGTAAAGAGAGAAGCATATGCCTTTTGGGCACTCTTATATGTAGAAATACCACAAAACAACAGTTTTTATTTCGATGTATTGCTATCTTTAGGCTTGATGACTGTTGATTGCAAGAATTTCATCTACAGATTTTTTTTTTAGTCCAGAGGACTTGCAGCCTGACATCATAGGGAGGAGAAAGCCCCCAACCCTCTACCTTGCTACCGAGTACCATTTGCCGTCATTCTACAACTGCTCCAGCATGACACTTGGATTAAGGTGTTAGACTCAAACTTGATCAAAACTGCCCAATAGCCTAGGGAATGTGTTTTATGGAGATACACAAAGTTGGAAGTATTTGATTGAGGCTCTAGAGTGGTGAGTAGAACCCAGGTGTTACAGCCAGGAGACCAGAGTTTCAATCACACTATTATCACTTATATAGGTTGCTGCAAAAGTAATATTTCTGAAGGTAAATACATTATTTCACCCCTTTAAAGCCCCACTGACTTGTATTGTATTTGCAATGATTAGATCTAAAAGTGACTTAAAATAAGCAAATATCCTAATACAGTACCTGTCACAAAGATGATTCTCAATAAATAATGTTACATTCACTTCTGAATTTATCGACCTCTAGGGAGTTGTTCTCTTTTTCCATATATCTGAGCACATATTAATTTTATTTCTGTAATTATGATTTGTCAAAACAGCCCCACTTTTCATTTGGACTTCTTGAAATATTAAGGATCAGCAAAAGCTAAGAATGTTCACCATGTAGATAACACATAAGTCAGTCATGTTAAAGCAAGCTAGGTGTGGCATATTATTTAAGAGAATTGACTCAACCTAGAAACCTTCAATCTTGCAGTGTAACTGTCCACCAAGTTCCACTTGGCCAAAGGAATGTATGTATGTATGTATGCACATTTTGCTGAGGAGACAAACAAATAATTTGCTGGGAATTAGTAATTTAGTTTGTAATGAGAACTCAAAACTGTTGACCCTACAATATAGGCAGTGGGATCTGATGGTGATTTTTAAATAACCTTTTTGAGAAATTGACAATAATTGTTCTCCACTAGGACTTAAACAAGAGTATATTATGTTTGGTTCTAGGCACTGTTTTCTGCAAATAGCAAGTGGGCCCTTTTTTTCTAAGGAGGAAATACCCGAGTACAGTTTACTAAACTTACATAGCACTCCCTACATAAAGGACAGTTTCCATGTGTTTTATATTCATTACTTCATATAACTCTCACACATGAACATTGTGAGATATTTTCTTATTTGAAAAAGGAACTGATTACTATTTGCAGATAATACTTCATGTCTTCATCTTCTGTTTCTCAAAACTTCTCCTCAACTATAATAGTTTTGGGGAGGGTAACTATACTTCCAGTTTTGCCTGGTGTGGTTCTAGGTTAATGAAAGTTGCCCTGGTGCAATTAATCATGGTTTTCCATTTTAGTATTGCTCCAGTTTGGAGAATAAATTATATAGTCCCCTGGTTAGGGGACCTGTATTCATTTTCCAGTATGCTGTGGACAATGCTGGGTCCTGCTTTCTTGAGAACCTGAGGCCACCCGTGTCCTTGACCCATTCTTTCTGTATAATCTGTCCTGCCAGCACTTTCTCTGCTTTGGAGAATAGTTTCAAGAATAATAAGAAGAAATAAGATAGTCAAAGGATTTTTTTCCCAACCATTTGTGTTATGGGAACATTCACTTTTTCTATGATTTCATAATGTCACCTGTGTAAAACCAATAAACATCTCCCACGTATGGTATCAAGAATATTGATCCTTAATAACTTTGTGTTCAACAGCATTTATATAATTATGTTTCAGATTGGGGTGGCAAGTAATTAGTGGGTTGTAAATTCTATTTAATGTTTCCAAAGAATCATTTAAAAGCAAAATAGAAATCTAGTGAAGAATATCAGAATGTGTTGCACAGATTAGAGGACACATTACTTGGAAAAAATTTTGTTTCATATGTTTTTGAATAGAGAAGAGACAAATATATTAAGCTCTACCATGTGTTGGGTGTTGTGTTAGATATTTTTGCATTCTTTAATCTACAAAATATTTTTAAATCAATATTATTAACCCTTGTTTCTATTGAACATTAAAGTGAAAGTAATACGTTGCACAAACATAATCTTTGCTTTTAAGCTGTTTTAACTTCTTTAGACAATATTTTAGGTTCCCATCTTAGGACTTCTGATGCAATATTTTCATACCTGTGGGTCCTTGTCCTTTCCTTGACTTCTCGTTTAGCTACGGTTTCAATATACTGATGCTTCTTTTAATTGCCATCACTGTAGACCATTGTTTTAACAATTAATATTCTTTTAAGCAGTGTTAGGCAAACAAAATATTTCTGCATCTCACGATGTTGAATAAATCAGTGGGGAATGGATATGTTCAAATTTCTGCAAATTCTAATAGCTTTGCATGTTTTACTGTGTTTTTAGAATATAACATTGGCTGGGCATGGTGGCTCATGCCTGTAATCCCAGCACTTTGGGAGGCCAAGGCGGGTGGATCACAAGGTCAGGAGTTCGAGACCAGCCTGGCAAACATAGTGAAACCCCGTCTGTACTCAAAATACAAAAATTAGCTGGGCATGGTGGTGGGTGCCTGTAGTCCCAGTTACTCGGGAGGCTGAGGCAGGAGAATCTCTTGAACCTGGGAGGCGGAGGTTGCAGTGAGCTGAGATTGTACCAGTGCACTCCAGGCTAGGCGACAGAGGGAGACTCTGTCTCAAAAGAAAAAAAAAAAGAATATAACATCTACTTTTAAAAAGTAATGTTCTTGTTGTAGTCATCCAGATGATTTCAGAAAACAGTAAGTCTGGACTAGCTTAAATGAAGTTTTTTATTATGAATTTTAAATTTTTTGGATTGTGCATTCCATGGTGGGAAAGTCCGTGCAGACATTTATTGACTTAAGTTTGGGGTTAATAGTTCTGTGAAAGAAGACCGATAGGATTTGTGGAGTACATTGCATTTGTGGGAAAATAGTCCTATTAGCAGTAATGTTTCAGCAGCAGCTGTAGGACAGCAGGTTACAAAGTTGTATGAAGAAAGGTCACAGGTAGGTGAGAGAAGAAGAAGAGAGAGAGAGAGAGAGAGAGAGAGAGAGAGAGAAAGTATCAAGTTCAACACAGATGTTACATCTCCATTGCCAGGTCAGGCAACTCGTTGTCTATTATATTAAAATTATCTGTATTTTCACCAAACTTTCTATCTTCCCAGAAGCATCCTTTTTTGGGGGGATTTGGTTCCTAGTTTCATAATTTTTTTTCTAATGTAACCATTATTCACATGTTAAATTGAGTTCTTTTGAAGTTTAACATACAGTTGTAGCTTGCTGGGTTTACCTATATAAGAAAGCATTACCAAGACAGTTTCTAATTCTCCCATTGTTTTTATTTCTTGTTAAGACCTCAGTGGACCAGTTCTGATACTAACAAACCATCACCTGGGCCTCAATGCATGGCATTTCTTCCCTGAAATGGTGTTCTGCTGTTATTGGGTTAGTATAGTGATGCTCAAACCTGGCTACGTATGAGAAATACAAAATATTCATGGCTGGGCTCCATGCCCAGGTATTCTGATTTGATTTGGTATTACATTTCACACTGGTATTATTAATAAGCTACCCAGGTGATTTTAATGTGTGGTTCTGTTTGAGAAATACTGGTGTAAGGTAAATTACTAGACAAATTTGAAAATAACTTATATGGTAGTTAGAAGAGTGTTTTTCTAAAACAAAATCGTACATTTACTTGTGTATCTTCATAGCCCTGGCTTATCTAATCCTTAGAAGATGAAGTTCAAGCTCAAGTTCTTGTTCCTCTCCAGCCTCACTGCATGGTAGGTTCCTCCTTTTGATATACATTCCAGTAATACCAAAGTGATGGTAGATTCCCAGTTATACTCATGTTAGTTGTATTTCTGTACCCCTGTCCGTCTAAAATGCCCTTTGTCTTCCTACCTTCTTATTGCTGATGCTGATACTGTCCAATCACATTTCAGAAACTTCCATTCTAGAAAAATTCCCACGATGCTTCATGTAGCACACCCTCCTTTAATAACTTTAAACTTCATGCAGTTATAGAGTTATAAATGTCCCTTCATGTTGTAATTTATTTATTCTGCAACTATCTTAGGTTGTGGATCCCTTGAGTGTTTGGAGAGAAATAGCCTTTTGTCTGTATCCATGTGTGGATATGGATGTACATAGTAGATACTCAATAAATATTTGTGAAATTAGCTATATTTCCTCCTTCATAACTTTAAAAAATAACTTAAAAACAGTATTCAGGGCTGGGCATGGTGCCTCATGTCGGTAATCCCAGCACTTTGGGAGACCGAGGCGGGTGGATCACTTGAGGTCAGGAGTTTGTGACCAGCCTGGCCAAACATCATGAACCCCATCTCTATTAAAATTACAAAAATCAGCTAGGCGTGGTGGTGTGCACCTGTAGTCCCAGCTACTCAGGAGGCTGAGGTGGGATAATCACTTTAACCTGGGAGGCAGAGGTTGCAATGAGCCAAGATCATGCCACTGCACTCCAGCCTGGGTGACACAGTGAGATTCTGTCTCAAAAAAACAAAACAAAACAAACATTATTCAACAGATTGATGTCTCCTGCTACCTAAATTCCTTACTCTTTGTGTGCCACAATTTGAGCTCAGTGAAAAAAATCCAAAGTCTTTTTTTTCCTTTTAATCTATTGATATTGTCTTCATTCACTTCAAAGGTAAGTAGCTTGACATAAAAATTGTGTTGAGATATGGGAAAGACAAAGACAACCATGAGCTCTTGCTCTTAACAAGATTCCTCATTTATAAGAAGAAGGTAAATGAAGATTGGAGGATGCAATTTCTGTAAATACAGTGGAAATGTTTTTAAATAATAAATAGGAGAAATTCCAAGTAGGGATTACTGATAGTTACACAAAGATTTCAGGTTTTGCCACTATATTCTCAAAACGTATTTGAAATTTCAATTAGCATTAATTATTCTGCATGTAACTATTTTATGACATGACATATAGTTTTTCAACTCAAGGAACTGCTAGAACTATAGGTTTCTTGTTGAAATTGTTTTTATTATTTTTCTATCTTTTCTACTCTGCATTTTTCTTTCCTTCCTTCCATCCTTCTTTTGTTCCTTTTTCACTTATTTTCCTCCATCTCTTCTTTTTCAATGTCTCTGTCTCACTTTCTCTTATTCTTTCTTCCTCTAAATTTGAAAACATTGAAACATTTTTTACATATCTATTTCTCATATCCACTACATTCCATTACTGTTCTAAATGCCAGTAAGTCAAAGATAAATAAGCCATAGCAACTATCCTTAGAAAGTAAGAGTTTCATGAGGCAGAAAGACAAAAATCAAACAATTGCAATGATAGATGTTATAGATATTAAAATAGATGTATTGCAAGGTGCTATGAGAGCAAAGAAGAGCAAACAGAATGCCTTATGAAGTGTAAAATATTCTTAAAAGGTCAAAGGAGAGAACAAACAGGATAATTTTGAGCTGCTATCATGTACAAGCTTACTACTGAGCATTGGTTTCTTCACGTTATTAACACATACAGTCTTCATAATTAACTGTATAAGATGGGAACCATACTTATCACCATTCATTTAGATTTGAAAACTAAACTAGAAAAGTTGTGTGAATTTCCAAGGTTTCATGTCTAAGGTGATGTCTTCTTGCCTTAAATATAATTATTAATATTATTATATGCAGCTTTAAGGGACTACACACTACTTGGTGCTGCTTGTTATTATTGGGGATAGAAGATGTAGCTGTAAGTTAGCTAAATTTGTTAAGAGTTAAGTCTGTGCCAAGTACTCTACTAGGTCTTTGTGATATTAACTCATGAACACCAATTTGAAGTCCGCAGTCCTATGATCTATTTTAAAGATGAGTAAACTGAGTGTAAACCAAAGGTTAGGATTATAAAGGTTAAGAAAGGTAGAATTGACTGTTGTACATAGCCACTTTTGAGCTAGCCATGCATGAGAAACAAGACAGACTTTTGCAAGAACAAGTCATGATAACAACTATGACTTTGAGGTGTCATGTAAGCAACACAGATGACAGGTGCTTTACATCAAATACTACCCATAGAAGCAAGCTCCACTTTTCGCACTATCTGGACCAGTTAAGGTAGCAGCAGCATGGTGTGATAGAGGTCACTTGAGCTATGGAGTCAGCACAGAATTTCAATTCTACCTATGCTCTCGCTTCAGTAATCTTCAGAAAATTACTAAAATCTCGAGGTCTCAAATTCCTCATATTTCTAATTGGGAGAGTGATAAATATTTCAAATGATAGGTGGACCAATTGCATAGTTCATTCACATGCTTGGAGCTCAGCAAATATATATATTTTTCTACTTATACTTAATTTGATTCCAAAATTTTACTGGTATGGTAAATAATAAAACTTAGAATAAAGTATCATTTTGACCAGTTTCTAAGCAATTTAAATCCCCCATTGTGGTTTTGTGTCTGAAGCTGGTTCCTGCCGGTGGGTTCGTGGTCTCGCTGACTTCAAGAATGGAGCCACAGACCCACCAGCAGGAGCCAACTCCAGACACATCTTAGGGACTCATCTGGGATTCACCACGCATTGAGTACCACTGGACACCTTTCGCTTGCTATTCTGTCTTATTTTTCCTTAGAATTAAGGGGCTAAACACTGGGCACCTGTTGGCCAGTTAAAAGCAACTAGCATGGCTGCTGGACTAAAGACACGGGTGTCAGGCTTTCTGGGAAAGGGCTCTCTAACAACCCCCAACTCTAAGGAGTCAGGAGCGTTAGTTTGCCTGGAAGCAGCTTCTGCTTTTCCTGCACTTCTGGGCTGAGCAGAGGGTCGACAGAGAGGAAAGCCATTCAGCTCCAGGGTCCCGACAAAAAGTTGGTTGACCCTGCAGCCATGAGCAGAGCTCTCAAAGTTACGTTGCCAAAGTGAGACTTGCCCATCTATCCCATCTATCCTGACCCTTGTCTCCTGGGTCTTAACACCCATCAGTCAAACTTCTTCCTGCCTCTCTTCTCCGAGGCTAGTCCTGCTTCTAAAAACCACTCCCTGTCCCTGGTACTCTTCTAGTTTCTCCTGTAAGGATGATTTCTAATATAAATTTTGGGACTCTGTTCCTTTCTTTAAGCACCCGGGCTCACCAATCAGAAAGACATAATTTTTGCCCAAAGCCCCATCGGGGGGGACTATATAGAATTTTAGGATCCCTCCTCAGACTAGCAGGCCTAACAGAGGCTATTCCCGAAGCTAGAATATGGGGAGCCTCAGAAATTATAGACTCCAAAATTGGAGGATATCCCTCCTATTCATATGTAAAGTGAGGACAAAAAGCATCACTCTTCCAACCCTGGAGATCCCTTCCCTCCCTCAGGATGTGGCCCTTCACTCCATTTTGAGGCATATCATGTTTACAGGACAAGGGTAAAGTCCCAATACCAACAGGAGAAAATGCTTATGACTCTAACTAACAGGTTTTCGAGACTGCGTCGGTAAAAGCCACTAAATCCCACCTTTCTCGGTCCTCTTTGTGGTCTAAGAGGAAAGGCAATGATGCAGGTTTTTGAGAATGTGTCAGTAAGGGCCACTAAATCTGACCTTCCTCGGTCCTCTTTGTGGCCTAGAAGGAAAACAAGTGTTTCTGCTGCTGCTTTGGTGAGCACAACTATCCCTAACAGCAGGGTCCAGGGACCATTGTAGGGTCTTGGGTGGGGGAAAAAAACAGGCCAAAACTGCAAGAATTTTTTTTTCTTTCTGTTTTAGATGGGAAACACTCAGGTATCAACAAGCTCACCCCTGAAATGCATCCTAAGCCATTGGGGCCAATTAGACCCACAAACCCTGAAAAAGAAGCAGCTTACTTTTTTCTGCACTACAGCCTGGCCTGAATATTCTCTCTCTGAAGGGGAAAAATGGCCACCTGAGGGAAGTATAAATTACAATACTATCCTGCAGCTTGATGTTTGCTGTAAGAGGGAAGGCAAATAGAGTGAAATACCTTATGTCCAAGCTTTCTTTTCATTGAAGGACAATCCACAGCTATGCCAAGTTTGCAATCTACATTCCACAGGAGGACCTCTCAGCTTACCCCCATATCCTAGCCTCCCTACAGCTCCCCTTCCTATTAATCATGAGCCTCCTCTAATCTCCCCCACCCAGAAGGAAACAAGCAAAGAAATCTCCAAGGGACCATAAAACCCCCTGGGCTATCGGTTATGTCCCCTTCAAGCTGTAGAGGAAGGGGAATTTGGCCCAACCCGGGTACATGTCCCCTTCTCCCTCCCTGATTTAAAGCAGATCAAGGTAGACCTGGGGAAGTTTTCAGATGCTCCTCATAGATATATAGATGTCCTACAGGGTCTAGGGCAAACCTTCAGTCTCACTTGGAGAGATGTCATGCTATTGTTAGATCAAACGTTTGCCTTTAATGAAAAGAATGTGGCTTTAGCTGCAGCCCGAGAGTTTGGAGATAGCTGGTATCTTAGTCCAGTAAATGATAGAATGACAGCCAAAGAAAGGGACAAATTCCATACCAGTCAGCAAGCCATCCCCAGTATGGATCCCGACTGGGACCTCGACTCAAATCATGGGGACTGGATTTGCAAACATCTGTTGACCTGTGTTACAGAAGGACTAAGGAGAATTAGGAAAAACCCCATGAATTATTCAATGATGTCCACCATAACTTAGGGAAAGGAAGAAAATCCTACCGCCTTCTGCGAGTGGCTATGGGAGGCTTTAAGAAAATATACTCCCTTGTCACCTAACTCCCTCGAGGGTCAATTGATCCTAAAAGATGTTTATTACCCAATGAGCCACAGATATCAGGAGAAAGCTCCAAAAGCTAGCCCTGGGCCCTGAACAAAATTTGGAGGCATTATTAAACCTGGCAACCTCGGCATTCTATAATAGGGACCAAGAGGAACAGACCAGAAAGGAATAGCGAGATAAGAGAAAGGCCACAGCTAAGAGAAAGGCCACAGCTTTAGTCATGGCCTCAGACAAACAAACCTTGGTAGTTCAGAGAGGACAGAAAACGGAGTATGCCAATCACCCGGTAGGGCTTATTATCAGTGTGGTTTGCAAGGACACTTTAAAAAAGATTGTCCAACAAGAAACAAGCTGCTCCCTCACACATGTCCACTATGCCAAGGCAATCACTGGAAGGAACACTGCCCCAGAGGACAAAGGTTCTCTGGGCCAGAAGCCCCCAGCCAGATGATCCAACCACAGGACTGAGGGCACCCAGGGCAAGTGCCAGCTCATGTCATCACCCTCACTGAACCCTGGGTAAGTTTAACCACTGAGATTCAGGAAATTGACTTCCTCCTGGACAGTGGTGTGGCTTTCTCAGTGTTAATCTTCTGCCCTGGACAGCTGACCTCAAGGTCCATTACCATCCAAGGAATCCGGGGACAGCCGTAACCAGGTATTTCTCCCACCTCCTCAGTTGTAATTGGAGACTTTGCTCTTTTCACATGCCTTTCTTGTTATGCCTGAAAGTCCCACACCCTTATTAGGGAGGGACACATTAGCCAAAGCTGGAGCTATTATCTATGTGAATATGAGGTACATGTTACCCATTTGTTGTCCCCTACTTGAGGAGAGAATCAACCCTGAAGTCTGGGCATTGGAAGAATAATTTGGAAGGGCAAAAAATGCCTGCCTAGTTCAAAGCAGGCTAAAAGAACCCACCACTTTTCCTTATCAAAGGCAATATCCCTTAAGGCCTGAAGCCCATAAAGGATTACAGGATATTGTTAGACATTTAAAAGTTCAAGTCTTAGTAAGAAAATGCAGCAGTTCCTGCAACACCCCAATTCTAGGAGTACAAAAACCGAATGGTCAGTGGAGACAAGTGCAAGATCTTAGACTCATCAGTGATGCAGTAATTCCTCTATATCCAGCTGTATCCAACCCCTATACCTTGCTCTCTCAAATACTGGAGGAAGCAGAATGGTTCACTGTTCTGGACCTCAAGGATGCCTTCTTCTGCATTCCCCTGCGCTCTGACTCCCAGTTTCTCCTTGCCTTTGAGGATCCCACAGACCACACATCCCAACTTACGTGGACGGTCTTTACTCAAGGGTTTATGGATACCCCTCATCTGTTTGGTCAGTCACTGGCCCAAGATCTAGGCCACTTCTCAAGTCCAGGCACTCTGGTCCTTCAGTATGTGGATGATTTACTTTTGGCTAAACAGCAGGCTACTCTAGATCTCTTGAACTTTCTAGCTAATCAAGGGTACAAGTTGTCTAAATTGAAGGCCCAGCTCTGCCTACAAGTCAAATATTTAGGCCTGATCTTAGCCAGAGGAACCAGAGCCCTCAGCAAAGAATGAATACAGCCTATACTGGCTTGTCCTTGCCCTAAGACATTAAAACAGTAGTGGGGGTTCCTTGGGATCACCAGCTTTTGCTGACTATGGATCCCCAGATACAGTGATATAGCCAGGCCACTCTAAAATCAAGGAGACCCAGAGGGCAAATATTCATCTAGTAGAATGGGAACCAGAGGCAGAAACAGCCTTCAAAACCTTAAAGCAGGCCCTAATACAAACTCCAGCCTTAAGCCTTCCCATAGGACAAAACTTCTCTTTATATGTCACAGAGAATGGGAATAGTTCTTAGAGTCCTTACTCAGACTCGTGGGACAACCCCACAACCAGTGGCATACCTAACTAAGGAAACCGATGTAGTAGCAAAAGGCTGGTCTCACTGTTTACAGGTAGTTGTGGTGGTGGCCAGCTTAGTATCATAGGCTATCAAAATAATACAAGGAAAGGATCTCACCATCTGGACTACTCATGTTGTAAATGGCATACTAGGTACCAAAGGAAATTTATGGCTATCAGACACCCACCTGCTTAGATACCAAGTGCTACTCCTTGAGGGACTGGTGCTTCAAATATGCACATGTGTGACCCTCAACCCTGCTACTTTTCTCCCAGAGGATGTGGAACCAATAGAGCATGACTGCCAACAAATTGTGGCCCAGACTTATGCCACCCGAGAGGATCTCTTAGAAGTCCCCTTAGCTAATCCTGACCTTAACCTATATACCAGTGGAAGTTTATTTGTGGAGAATGGGATATGAAGAGCAGGTTATGCCATAGTTAGTGATGTAACTACTTGAAAGTAGGCCACTTCCCGCAGGGACCAGCACCCAGATAGCAGAACTAGTGGCGCTTACCCAAGCCTTAGAACCGGGAAGGGAAAAAAGAATAAATGTGTATACAGGTAGCAAGCATGCTTATCTAATCCTACATGTCCATGCTGTGATATGGAAAGAAAGGGAGTTCCTTTACAGAAAGGGGAACCCCCATTAAATACCACAAGGATATCATGGAGTTATTGCACACAGTGCAAAATCCCAAGGAGGTGGCAATTTTACAGTGCCAAAGCCATCAAAAAGTTGAAGGAGAAAAAGCAGAAGGAAACTGTTGGACAGATGCTGAGGCCAAAATTGCTTCCGGGGGAACTTCCCATTAGAAATACCTATGGAAGGACCCTTGGTATGGAACAACACTTTCCAAGAGATTAAGCCCCAGTATTCCCCAGCCGAAACAGAATGGGGACTTTCATGGGGGCATAGTTTTCTCCCCTTGGGGTGGTTAATGACAAAAGAGGGAAAGGTATTCATACCCGAAGCCAGCCAGTGGAAAATACTTAAGACCCTTCACCAAACTTTTCATATGGGTATTGAGAACACTCTTCAAATGGCCAAATCTGTATTTACAGAGTCAAATCTCCTCCAGACCATCTGACAAGTAGTCAAAGCCTATGAGGTGTGCCAAAGGAATAATCCGTTGGTCCACTGTAAGGCCCCTCTGGGGGAACAAAGAATAGGGCACTATCCTGGAGAGGACTGGCAGTTAGACTTCACCCATATGCCTAAGTCAAGGGAGTTCAATACTTTTTGGTCTGTGTTGATACCTTTATAAATTGGATAGAAGCCTTCCCCTGCAATACAGAGAAGGCTCAGGAAGTGGTTAAAGTCCTAATTCATGAAATCATTCCTAGATTTGGTCTTCCCCAAAGCTTACAAAGTGACAGTGATCCAGTTTTTAGAGCCATGTAACTCAGGGAATTTCCAGGGCACCAGGGATACAATATCACCTTCATTGCACCTGGAGGCCACAATTCTCAGGGAAGGTCGAGAAGGCAAATTGAACACTCAAGAGGCACTTAAGGAAACTAACACAGGAAACTCATCTCCCATGGCCTACTCTCTTGCCCATGGCCTTGTTGAGAATCCATAATTCTCCTCACAAAATGGGGCTCAGTCCATATGAAATGCTGTATGGACGACCTTTTCTCACAAAAGACCTCCAAGTCATCCAAACAGCTCCATTCAGATGGCTTGTCAGCTTCTCAGAGCCCCCCCAAAATCATCACATCCTCCCTGCTTAACAGTCTGGGTTTTGTAATGGCAAACATACTCCCTGCATGACCATTCACCCCTGGAACCCCTGTGGCAGCACACCCACCACTAGTGAATGCCTTCTCATCCCCAATTTCAATTACTCTCTAGAATGGTTCCTAGTAGATACAAAACGGTTTTTTTCTCCAGTGAGAAAATAGAACACAGGGAGCCTCTCAGTTTGTTCCCAACACCATTTTCCAGCCACTCACTGGAGCTACCTTTGCAAGTACTCTAGGAGTATGGTAAAATGAAAACAACAAACTCACACACCTTTTTAACATACACAACCAGTTCTGTCTACCCAGCCAAGGCATATTCTTCTTATGTGGAACTTCAACATATATCTGCCTTCCCACCAACTGAACAGGCACCTGCACCTTAGTCTTCCTAAGTCCCAACATTGACATTGCCCCAGGAAATCAGATCCTATCAGTGCCCCTCAAAGCTCAAGTCTGTCAGTGCAGGGGCATACAAGTAATGCCTCTACTTACAGGGTTAGGAATAACCACTGCTACAGGATCCGGAATAGCCATTTTATCTACTTCATTATCCTACTACCACACACTCTCAAAGGATTTCTCAGACAGTTTGCAAAAAATAACAAAATCTGTCCTTACTCTACAGTCCCAAATAGACTCTTTGGCAGCAGTGACTCTCCAAAACCACCGAGGCCTAGTCCTCCTCACTGCTGAGAAAGGAGGACTTTGCACCTTCTTAGGGGAAGAGTGTTGTTTTTACGGTAACCAGTCAGGGATAGTATGAAATGGTGCCCAGCATTTACAGGAAAAGGCTTCTGAAATCAGACAACGCCTTTCGAACTCTTACACCAACCTCTGGAGTTGAGCGACATGGCTTCTCCCCTTTGTACATCCTGTGACAGCCATCTTGCTATGACTCGCCTTTGGCCCCTGTATTTTTAACCTCCTTGTCAAACTTGTTTCCTCCAGGATTGAGGCCATTAACCTACAGATGGTCTTACAAATAGAACCCCAAATGAGCTCAACTCACAACTTCTTCCGAGGACCCCTGGACCAACACACTGGTCCTTTGACTGGCCTAGAGAGTCCCTCTCTGGAGGACACTACAACTGCAGGGCCCCTTCTTCACTCCTATCCAGCAGGAAGTAGCTAGAGTGGTCATCGCCCACTTCCCAGCAGTTGAGGTGTGCTGTTAAGAGGGGGGATTGAGAGGTAAGGCCAGTTGGACTTCCTGGGTTGAGTGGGAACTTGGGGAACTTTCCTGTCTTACAAGACAATTGTAAAATGCACCAATCAGTGCTCTGTAAAACACACCAATCAGCACTCTGTAAAATGCACCAATCAGCAGGATTCTAAAAGTAGCCAATCGTGGGAAGGATTGAAAAAAGAGCACTCTGATAGGATAGAAATGGAACATGGGAGGGGACAATAAGGGAACAAAAGCTGGCCACCCCAGCCAGCAGCAGCAACCTGCTCGGGTCACCTTCCACTCTGTGGAAGCTTTGTCCTTTCACTCTTCGCAATAAACCTTGCTGCCGCTCACTCTTCGGGTCTGTGTCATCTTTCAGAGCTGTAACGCTCACCGTGAAGGTCTGTGGCTTCATTCTTGAAGTCAGCGAGACCACAAACCCACTGGCAGGGACCAACTCTGGACACAGTTTGATATTTCAATGAAACTCCACTTAAGCTCATTATTTCCTCAAAAAGTATATTCTTTGTTTGTTTTGCATGTCTTATGTTTTGACTTCCTAATACTCCAGCATTTTAAAGCCAATTCTCACTGTTATTATTGAGTCTATAACACTGTATCATATAGGCTTATACTTTGTATTTATTATGTGAGTACATATTCCTGGAGTAGATGCCTGGACTTCATCATTTCAAAGTCTCAGAAAGAAGGCTTTTCTCTCTAAACTCCTGCCCTACTTTGAAAAGGAGAAAAAACTGCTGAACAGGAGCTTGGGGTGATGGAATAGTGGAAGACATTTTGTAGCAAAATTAAATGATTCAGGAATATAAATCAGCTTATAATTCAACTAAGTCTTGAGGGAGTAATTTTTGGCACTGAGACAACTGCTGTGGATAGACCCACACCTGTATCTTATGGTATCACTTGCCTTATCTTTATTTTCTTCTCTCCACTTCTAGGCTAAGTTTAGTTTATTTTCTGCAGCTTGTCTTATGGAATACCCTTAAATGGCTTCAGGGTTCTCTCATAGGTGCATATTGTAGCCCATTATTGCTTAGGGAGCCAGCAGGCAGAGGAGCAAAGGAGAGTAATGAGTCCTTACATAACACTGCAGTATTTGCTGTTCCCAACTGCTCTGTTCCTTGCTAAGGCAGTATGGGGAGCAGTTACCTCTACCACATACAGTCTGAATGTCTTAATCATTCTTGGAAAAACAATTTCAGTACACTCATTAGAGCCAAAAGAGTTCCATTTCTCCAAAGGGATTTTTGAAATGGGAACACTGAAGTAGAATCTGACAGAGGCAGAAAAGCCAGAGGTATTCAAAGGGATAAGAATAAAAACAAAGGCAGGGAGGATCGTGTTTAGAGTCTGTCATTGGGAATGAAACAAGCCCCCATTTGATCCAGGTTTTTATGACCATCATAATAGACATAGCCACTTGAATATATAAAGATTTCTTCCTATGTGTATAACAAAATGAAAATATTAATTGGCCATCTCTGAATAGACATCAAAGTCAGACAAAACTTCTTTTGTGATTATCTTTTGGGAGTCATAAGGGTAAAGATAAGAGGATTTTCTACTGCTGGCCATGCTAAGGTAGACTATGATCAGGTCTAATAGAGCCTGCTTCAAGGATCAGATGAGTATGAGACAACTTCTTATACTTTAGGGAGAAGAGCAATAAAAAGTTTTCAATTCATCCTTCATCCTTAGTCCTCCCTATATTGCTGCTAGTAGCAGTACTGGGTGTAGGGCTCCAACGTCAGAGGCAATTCATATAGGACTCAGACTCATCAAGCAAACAACAAAGAACAAGAACCCAGCAGAGTGACTCTTTGTTATAAAGGAAGGTAAGATCCTTGAACAGTGTGTTTATACTGCTAGAATTCTCTCATACTCATCCACTCTGGCACTCTCTGCCATATCTTTGCAAAATGACTATGAGTGTGTATGATTGCACACATAAAAAATAGACTCACTAAAGAGTCTACAAAAGTAGACTCATTAAAGTGTATATATATATACACACACACATATATACACACATACATATTTATACACACACATATATATACACACATACATATATATACACATACATACAAGTATATTTTATATATATATGATAGTAGCAGCCAAGTCTAGGCATAGAATATCACAGTATGTAGTAGCTAATGTTGAACATAGTACTATAGAGGAGAGATTTCCTTTTATGCTTCCTACCCTCCTTCACTATCATACATATACATGCTAACACGTATATCAGTGATTCTTTTGCTGGATCAGAGGAGGTAGTGTATACTTTGGGCAATCCCGTCTAACAAGCACTGTATGGGTTGCCATGTGGCAGTTACACAACAAATAACACAGAATTTGGTGAATTGGATGCATAAAGTTTTCTTTTCCTTTCTTTCTGCATCTTTCTTTCCTTCTCTGAGAAACCAGGACCAAATTATCTCCTTGAGATTCATGGACTTATATTGGGACTGAGGACTTCCAAAGGAGGAGAAAAGGACATTGCCATTCATAGTCTGATGAGGCCAAGGTATAATTTAACTTTACACTAAAAAGAGTGGTATCATATTTTGTATTTAATGCTGGTGAGGTATGTGTTTCCTCTATTGTTTATTAACATAAACATGCATTTTAGAGCTTGAGACTTTACAGAAAAGAGGAATGCAAAAGAAAAGGGAAAGGAAATAGCATGTATTGGGCACATATAATGTTATGTTTTGGGTACGTAATCCGTGTGTTTAAAAGAACTCTTAGATGATACTAATAACTAAGCTAAATCCTAACCTTAACCTTAACTGTGTCCTTAATACCAGCATCAACACAAAACCCAGAGAACAAATAAGTTGGGCACACAATCTATTCCTATAAGCTTTCCAGATATGTTAGCTCATTCAATCCTACCAAAAGTTCTGTAAGATATTTCGGGTTGAATCTCTTTAAGGTGTAGGAAAGGTTGAGTAATTTACCTTAAGTCATATAATTATTGGAAGGTAGATTTGCAGTGTGAACTTAGAAGTAACTGACATTTAAAGATGGGGAGAATGAGATGAAATGTGAAGGAAAAAGCCTTGGAGACAGAGCCAAAACTGGATCTCAGATTCTATGCCTGCTAAAAAGTGTTCTTTCTAACCTACTATCTTCACTGGGGCTGTTAAGTGCCTATAAAATTAAGTATGAAAGTATCAATCGAAAGTGAGAAGGAAAAAAGGTGGAGAAAATTGCACTTGCCACAAACAGACTCAGGATTTTGATTCCCCTTCTTTCTTGGGTTACATAATCTAAACAAAAGAACTTCAAGAATTTTCAGTCACAGCTATAATGTCCCCGGTAATGTTTTTATGTAGCCTTTAAGTTTTTTTTCCTCTGCATTGCTTTTATTACCTGCTGAGTATTATTATATTTTACACATTATTTGACATGAAACCTTGCCCTTGATGAAATGACACTTTCTTATATTCTCTTGAAAGCTTGTAAGACCAGAAGCGGATTATTCCATAGCTTCTACCTTTCTTGAATAAAGCTACATGAATACACTGTAACTTTGGTCTTTGGAATGGAGTTTCTTAAAGAGAAATATAGATGGAAGAATATCATTTTGTCTTTTTATCTTTTATCATATGCAAGCATAGATGAGCAAAGAGTAATTCAAGAGAAGAAAGATTTTACATGACTTTTTTCATTGATTCATTTAGTAACTGGTAATATACTGACAACATATTATGTCTAATTATATTTGCCCAATATATATTATTAACAATTCAAATCTCACAGTATCGTGTTTTTCTGTTTATTTTTTTAAATTGACTTTATTTTTTAACTTATGAATTATATGTGATATTTTAATATAAGCATACTATGTATAATGATCAATTCTGGATAACTGGGATATTCATCACCTTGTTTTTCTATTTACATTTGTAATTGAGGGGGTCTGGGGTCAATTTGCAGTACAACTTGAATAAATGTAGAAAATCTAATGGTGTGCATTCTGTATTACTATTTGCTCACAGATTTTGACTTTGATATTTTACCCTTATTTTTCCATTCTCTGTTTTAAAAATATATTCATTTTTGTGTCTTAATTAATTACACTTATTTAAACTTTTTCAAATCCTTTTGGGAAATGAAGACGATAGGTAGAGGGTTAGTTAATAAGCAAGCAAGAAAGCTACATTAACTCCACGACGTTGTGTCAATCAGCCTGTTTTGTTTGTTTTCAGTTTAAAGTGAGAAATTTCTTAAAGGGATTTAAACAATTTATCCTGTTTGGCATGGTTCCTAATACCTATAAAGTATTTCCTGCTCTCTATTTTGAAACAAGAATGATAAATTGGACAAGGTTGATAGAATTGAACAGCAATACGTGTGTGACATTTTGCTGTCATGTCTTCAAATCTGTTCATATAATGGAAATTCTGCATTGTAGTTGAAAATAATTTATCTATTTTAATGCAGATGCAGATGTATTCAGTTCAACTGATTATTACTTCACTGTATACACTGATCAGTTATTTATGTTTGTCATCTTATTAGTGGCTTTTGATCACTTTGATTTTTTTAAGGGTGATTAAAAGATACTTGAAACATGTTGCAGTATCTTTCTTAAGTAGCCTAACAAATGTAATTAGTCAAATACTAAAGTTAACTCATAAAATTTGTGACTCACATAGAATAATCTTCAAAATAAAACTCTACTAACTTATAAGCTTAGGTATTAGTATGAACTAAGAGTTCTTCAGATCTTTCATTACTACTTTTTTCAAAATACCTGATCAGGATGAATAATCAGAGAAGGAATATGTGAATTGGGGGAGGTTTTACTGTATGATATAAACGAGATGATATAATCTGACTCTACCACAGTAAAATATACCAATTCTACTTTCATCGTCTCTAATACTAAGCAAAATATTTTAAGACACAACTGTAGCCCGAAATAGTAACTATACCATCTAAAAGCTAACCCTAATTCTAGCACTAATCTTAGCCAAAATCCTCATGCTAATGCTCAATCTATTTAAAGCCTCTTACTCTAGGAGATTAACATTTATTTTCATGCTAAAGTTGAATCCTAGCCTTACCCCTAACAGTACCCTTAATACCAGCATCAACACAAAAACCTGAAAAACAAATAAGTTTTAACTCACATATGAACTTTGACTGGTAGTGTGTTCTCAGGGTCACTTTGTTGAGGAAGATGCTAAAACTCAGTGGGAAAGAATTTGGAGACAATGAACCATGTCTTTCCTAATACAGAAGTAAAGGAGAGCAGCATGGGTGCCAAGCATTTGCTGTCCTTATCCTAATAATACCCCTTGCCCTGGTCTGGCCCTGACTCCCTAAAGGTAAACATTGCTGGCAAGTCATATGACAAGAGAAGAAAATTATTCTCTGCTTTGGTCTCTATTATAATAAAGAGTAGGGCATGAGTTCCTAAGGACCAAGTTTTCTTCCCTAGAGGAAATACACTTTTTTAAATGTCACAACTTGTCAAAATGATTCATTCATTCCATATATATGAAAGAATATAGACAAAGAATTTAGTATCTCAATGCTCCATTTTAATATTGAAGTGACTGATTACCAAAGAGACCACCTAACAATCATTCTGCTATCAAGAGGATACGTTTTCTTATTTTACTTCTCTGAGACATTTATGTAATATATCAAATGTTATTAATCCTTGCCAATTGTTAATTTGAAATAATTAATGGCGTATTTCACAGGATATAAGCATAATTTTCTCAGTGTAGTTTATTTTTCTAAGCACATGGGCATGATATTCAAGCCATGGCTAGAAAAATTCTTTTTAAATTAGTTTCATTGAAAATTCATAGTACAGATATAACTAAAAAACAGGATGATTAACTCCCAGATGCTCTTAAAGAGCTTCAACAATTATCAATCCATGGTTAATCTTATTTAGTTAATTTACATATTACTTATATGTTTTTATTCAAATTTTAGACATTATCTGAAAATATCTCTATAACTTAATGACTTGATTTTTAAAAATAGCTTAATTGAAGAATATTTGAATATCATAAAATTCACCTATTTAAAATGTACAATTCAGTGGTTTTTAGTATATTCAGAATTCTGTTAGAATTACCACAATCTTATTTAAGAACATTTTCATCACTCCCAAAAGAAACCCCATATACATTAGCAGTCACTCCACATTTTACTCCCACCAGCAACCCTAGGGAATCACTAATCTAGTTTTCTACATCTATTTTCCTATTCTGGACATTAAATATAAATTAAGTCACATTATATTTGATCTATTGTGTTTGCTTTCTTTAACTTGGTGTAATGCATTCGAGATTCATCCATGTTATATTATGTATCAGTACTTACTCCTTTTCATTACCTAGTAATACTCCGTTGTATGGATATAACACATTTTGTTTATTCATTCACAGTTGATACACATTTTGATTGTTTCCAAGTCAAGGTGTTTAGGATATTTATCACCATGAACATTTATAATTTATATGTTTTGAGAATATTTCAAGTTCTCGCTTCTAGCTATCCTGAAACGTGCATTACAATGTGGGTTAATATAGACACCTTACTCTACTTTCAAGCATTATAATTACTCCTTCTACCTAATTCTATGTTTGTACCCATTAACCAACCTCTTCATCCCTAACCCTGAAAACACACACATGCAGCTGGGTGCAGTGGCTCACGCCTGTAATCCCAGCACCTTGCGGGGCTGAGGTGGATGAATCACGAGGTCAAGAGTTAGAGACCATCCTGGTGAAACCCCGTTTCTACTGAAAATACAAAAATTAGCTGGGCGTGGTGGCGTGCTCCTGTAATCCCAGCGACTCGGGAGGCTGAGGCAGGAGAATCACTTGAACCCGGGAGGTGGAGGTTGCAGTGAGCTGATATCACGCTACTGCACTCCGGCCTGGTGACACAGTGAGACTCTGTCTCAAAAACAAGACAAACAAACAAAAAAGCAAAAACAACAAAACAAAATACCATGCATCCTTTCCAGCCTCTGGTAACCATTGTTCCACTTTTTACCTCTTTTAACTCCATGAGATCAACTTTTTTAGCTGCCACATATGAGTGAGAATATATGATATTTGTCTTTCTGCATTTTGCTTAGTTAGCTTAACAAAACAGCCTCTAGTTCCATTCATGTTGCTCCAGATGATTTCAATTTTTTATGGCTAAATAGTATTTCATTGTGTGATTGTACCACATATTCATTATCCATATATCCATTTGTGGATGCTTAGTTTGATTCACTCTCATTGCTATTGTGAATACTGCCACAAAAAAACATGGGAGGCATGTATCCCTTTGATACACTGATTTCCTTTCTATTGGATAAAACTCAGTGGTGAGATTGCTAGATTGTATGGTCGTACTATGTTTAGTTGTTTTTTTTTTTCCCTGAGGAATCTGAACACTAGTGTCTTTTTAATTTTTTTATTTTGTGGGTAGATAGGAGGTGTATATATTTATGGGGTACATGAGATATGTTGATACAGGAATTCAATTCAAAATAATCACATCAGGGTAAGTCGAGTATCCATCACCTCAAACATTTAAACTTTATTTGTGTTATGAACAATCCAATTATACACTTTTAGCTACTATAAAATGTACAATAAATTATTGTTGACTGTAATCACACTATTGTACTATGGAATTCTAGATCTTACTCATTCTAACTATATTTTGTTACCCATTAGCCATCCTCAATTTCCCCCAGCCTCTGGTGACCACTATTCTACACTCTATCTCCATGAGTTTGTTTTAATTTTTAGGTCATATGAATAAGTGAGAAAATGCAAACTTTGTCTTTCAGTGCCTGGCTTATTTCACTTAATATAACGTTCCCCAGTTCCATCCATGTAGTTGAAAATGGCAGAATCTCATTCTTTTCTACGACTCCCCAGTACTCCATTATGTATATGCATCGCATTGTCTTTATCCATTTGTCTGGATGGACACAGGTTGTTTCCAATTCTTGAATATTGTGAATAGTGATGAAACAAACATGTGACTGCCAGTATCTCTTTGATATACTGATTTCCTATCTTTGGATACATATCTAGCAGTGGGATTGCTGGATCCCACTGCTAGATATATATCCAGGTAGTTCTCTTCTTGCTTTTTTGAGGAAACTCCAAACCCTCCCAACTGTTCTTCATAGCAGTTGTACTAATTTTTTGTCAGATGGAAAGTTTGCAAATATTTTCTACCATTCTCTAGGTTGTCTCTTCACTTTGTTGATTTTTTTTCTGTGCAGAAACTTTTTAATTTGATGTGATCCCATTTATCCACTTCTGTGTTAGTAGCCTGTTTGTGGGATATTACTCAAGAAATCTTTGTCTAGATCTATCTTTGCTGGGGAGAGTTTCCCCAATACTTTATTTCAGTAGTTTCATTGTTTGGGGTCTTAGATTTAAGTGTTTAATCCAACTTGATTTGGTTTTATATAGCAACATATATGCATCTAGTTAGTTTCATTCTTCTGCATATGGATATCTAGTTTTCCCAGCACCATTTACTGAAGAGAGTGTCCTTTCCCCAATGTATATTCATGTCACCTTTATCAAAAATGAGTTTATTGTAGATGTATAATTTCCAGATTCTCTAATCTGTTCCATTGGTCTATATGCCTATTTTTATGCCAGTGCCATGCTGTTTTGGTTACTATAGCTCTGTAGCATAATTTGAAGTCAGGTAATGTGATGCCTCCAGCTTTATTCTTTTTGCTCAGGATAGCTTTGTCTATTCTGGATCCTTTGTGGTTCCATATAAATTATAAGATTGTTTTTACTATTTCTGTGAAGAATGTGATTAGTATTTTGATTGGGATTGCACTGAATCTGTAGATTGCTTTGAGTAGTATAGATATTTTAACAATATTGATTCTTCTAACCCATGAATGCATAGATTGTCTTTCAATTCTTTCTTGTCCTTTTCTATTTCTTTCATCAGTGTTTTATACTTTTCATAATAGAGATCTTACACACTTATTTGGTTTAGTTAATTCCTAGGTATTTAATTTTTGTGTGGCTATTGTAAATGAGATTACATTTTACATTTCTTCTTCTCATCATTCACTGTTGGCATATAGAAATGCTATTGATTTTTGTATGTCAATTTTGTATCCTTCAACTTTACTGAATTTGTTTATTAGTTCTAATAGTTTTCTTGTGGAGACTCCAAAAGAAAATTATTAGAACTAATAAACAAATTTAGTGGAGTCAACTATATTGTGGAATCAAATATAAAGTCATATTATCTGCAAACAAGAATAATTGGACTTCTTTCATTCCAGTTTGAATGCCCTTTATTTCTTTCTCTTGTCTAATTGCTTCAGCTAGGACATCCAGTATTATGATAAATAACAGTGGTGAAAGCAGGTATTCTTGTCTTCTTCCAGATGTTAGCAGAAAGCCTATCAGTTATTTCCTGTTAAATGTGATACTAGCTATGGGTCTGTCATATGTTTTTATAGTGTTGATGTATGTTCCCTCTATACAGAGTTTTTTTAGGGCTTTTTTTTTAATCATAAAGGAATGTTGAATTTTATCAAATAGTTTTTCAGCATCAGTTGAAACAATCATGTTTTTTTGTTCTTCATTCTGTTGATACGATATGAAATGAGTTTGGAAGTATCCCCTCCTCCTTTATGTTTTGGAAAAATTTGAGTAATATTGGTATTGGTTCTTCTTTAAATGCTTGGTAGAATCCAGTAGTGAAGCCAACAGGTCCTAGGCTTTTCTTTTCCTGGAGACTTTTTATTACGGCTGTCATCTCATTATTCATTATTGGTCTGTCTGGGTTTTGAATTTAATTGTTCAGTCTTCGTAAGTCATATGTGTCTAGAAATTTACCTATCTATTCAAAGTTTTGCAGTTTATTGGCATATAGTTGTACGTAGTTGCCTCTAATGGTCGCTTAAATTTATCTGGTGTCAGTTGTAATGTCTCCTGTTTTATTTCTGATGTTATTTATTTGAGTCTTCTCTCTTTATTTCTTAGTTAGCCTGGTTAAAGGATTGTCAATTTTGTTTATCTTCTCAAAAACCCAAGTTTTTCTTTTGTTGACATTTTGTAATTTTTTTATTTCCATTTCATTTATTTCTGCTCTGACCATTATTATTTCTTTTCTTCCATAAACTTAGGGTTTGGTTTCCTCTTACTTTTCCAGTGTTTTAAGGTGCATTGTCAGGCTGTTCATTTAAAGTTTTTCTAATTTTTTGATGTAAGTGTTTATTGCTATAAATTTTCCTGTTGGTACTACTTTTGCTGTATCCCACAAATGTTGGTATACTGTGTTTCCATTTTTATTGTTTCAAAAAAATTTTAAATTCTCATCTTAATTTCTTCATTGACCCATTGGTCATTCAGAAGTATATTGTGTAGTTTCCAGGTGTTTGTATAGTTTCCAACATTTGTCTCGTTATTGAGTTCTAGTTTTATTTCATTGTTGTCAAAGAAGATATTTAATATAATTCCAATTTTCTTGAATATTTTAAGACTTGTTTTTTGGCCTAATGCATAGTTTACCCTTATGAGAGATCCATGTGCTGAGGAGAAGGATGCATACTCTGCAGCTGTTGGATGAAATGTTCTACAGTGCAGATTAAGTCTGATGTTTCTTTGTTGATTTTCTGTTTCAATGATCTTTCTAACGCTAAAAGTGGGATGATTAAGTCTTCAGCTCTTATTGTATTGGAGTTGTTCTCTCTCTTTAGCTCTAATATTTGCTTTATATGTCTGAATGCTCCAGTGTTGGGTGCATATATTTACAATGGTTATATCTTCTTGCTGAATTGTCTTCTTTATATAATGATCTTGTCTTTTTTTAAATAGTTTTTGTCTTGAAATCTATTTTGTCTGATAGAAATATAGATACATCTGCTCTTTTTTGGTTTCCATTGGCATAGGATATCTTTTTCCATTTCTCTTAATTTTCAATCTATGTTTATCTTTATAGGTGAAGTCTGTTTCTTACAGGGAACAGACCACTGGGTCTTGTGTTTTTTATCCATTCAGCCACTCTATGTCTTTTGATTGGAGATATTAGGCCACTTATTTTCAATGTTATTAATGATAAGTATAAACACTCTCCTGTAATTTTTGTTATTTTCTTTCTGGTTGTTTTGTTGCCTTCTTTTCCTTCTTTCGTTCCTCCTTCCATCTTCCTTTTAGTGAAGGTGATTTTCTCTAGTGCCATGTTTTAATTTCTCACTTTTGTTTTTTTTTGTGTGTGTATCTGTTGTGTGTTTTTTTATTTCAGATTACCATGAGGCTTACAAATAATATAACCCACTATTTTAAGCT
Organism: Homo sapiens; assembly: GCF_000001405.40. Taxonomy (NCBI): domain Eukaryota; kingdom Metazoa; phylum Chordata; class Mammalia; order Primates; family Hominidae; genus Homo; species Homo sapiens. The sequence continues at coordinate 157,894 of NW_017363818.1, forward strand.
GATGACAACTTAACACTGATTGCAAAAATAAACTATTAGTAACTAAGAGATAGCTTATAAAACTCTACACTTTTTATCCATCGTTTTTAACTTCTTGTTGTTTCTATTTGTACCTTGTTATACTGTCTATGCCTTGAAAAGTTGTTGTAGTTATTATTTCTGACCAACTCATCTTTTAGTCTTTCTACCCAGAATATAAGTAGTTTGCATACCATTATTGCACTGTTATAATATTGTTTTTCTGTGTACTGTTACCAGTGAGTTTTGTACCTTCAAATGATTTCTTATTGCTCATTATCACTCTTTCCTTTCTGATTAAAGAAGTCTCTTTTGCATTTCTTGAAGGACAAGTCTTGTGTGATGAAATCCCCCAACTTGTTTGTCAAGGAAAGTATTCCTCCTTCATGTTTGAAGGATGTTTAAATTGGATATACTATTCTAAGATAAAAGCTTTTTATTTCCTTCAGCACTTTAAGTATGTCATGCCACCCTCTCCTGGCCTATAAAGATTCCACTGAGAATTCTGCCAGATGTTTTGGAATGCCCTTCCATGTTATTTGTGTGTGTGTGTGTGTGTGTGTGTGTGTGTGTGTGTGTGTGTGTGTGTTTCTTGCTGCTTCTGTCGCCCAGGCTGGAGTGCAGTGGCTTGACCTCGGCTCACTGCAAGCTCCACCTCCCAGGTTCACACCATTCTGCCTCAGCCTCCTGAGTAGCTAGGACTATAGGTGTCCACCACCATGCCCGGCTAATGTTTTGTATTTTTAGTAGAGATGGGGTTTCACCATGTTAGCCAGGATGGTCTCGATCTCCTGACCTCGTGATCCACCCGCCTTAGCCTCCTAAAGTGCTGGGATTACAGGCGTGAGCCACTGTGCCCGGCCAAGGGGAGTTTGATTATTAACTATCTTGAAGTAGTCTTATTTGGGTTAAATCTTCATGGTGTTCTATAACCTTCTTGTACTTGCATATGTATATCTTTCTCTAGGTTTGGGAAGTCGTTTTAATATCCCTTTGAATAAATTTTCTACCCTGGTCTCTCTGTCTCTCCTTCCTCTTCAAGGCCAATATTGCTTAGGTTTGCCATTTTGAGGCTATTTTCCTAACTCTTGTAGGCATACTTTATTCTTTTATGTTCTCTTTTCTTTTGTTCTCTCTTACTGTGCATTTTCAAATAGATTGTCTTCAAGCTCACTAATTATTTCTACCACTTCATCAATTCTTGTTAAGAGATTTTGATGCATTTTTCAGTATGTCAATTGCATTTTTAATCTCTGGAATTTCTGCTTGATTCTTTTTAATAACGCCAATCTCTTTAATTTATCTAATATGATGCTGAATTTCTTCTCTATGTTACCTTGAATTTCTTTAGTTTCCTCAAAACAACTATCTTGAATTCTCTGTTTGGAAGGTCACACATCTGTATCTCTATGGGACTAGTCACTAGTGCCTTATTTAATTTGTTTGTTTAGGTTATGCTTTTCTGGATGACTCTGATGCTTGTGGATGTTTTTCAGTGCTAGGCATTAAAGAATTATGTATTACTTGTAGTCGTCACAGTCTGGGCTTGTTTGTATCCACCCTTCTTGGCAAGGATTTCCAAAACACTTGAAGGTACTTTGGTTTTGTGATTTAAGTCTTTAGACACAGCAGCTGTATCTGTATTAGGGCACAACACAAGCCCATGAACAACTATGGCTCTTGTGGACTCTTATAGGTACTGCCTAGGTGATCTCAGGTAAGATCTGGGATAATTCTTTGGATTATCAGGCAAAGACTCTTCTTCTCTTCCCTTACTTTGTCCCAGACAAAAGGAGTCTCTGTCTCTGTGCTGAACTTCCAGGAGCTAGGGCTAGGGGTGACACAAGTACCTCTATGGTCACCACCACCAGGACTGTGCTGGGTCATACCTGATGCAAGCACAGCACTGGGTCTCACCCAAGGCCCACGGTGACCACTGCCTGGCTACTGCTTCTGTTTATTCAAGGCCCAAGAGCTCTATAATCAGCAGGTGATGAATCCAGCCACCGTTGGGTCATTCCCTTCAGGGTGAAGAGATCCCCCCAGCCTTGAGTGGGTCCTGAGATGCTGTCCAGGAGCCAGGACCTGGAGTCAGAAACCTTAGTAATCTACATGGTGTTCTATTCTATTGCAGCTGAGCTGCAACCAGGACATAAGACAAAGTCCTTCCCACTCTTCCCTCTCCTTTCCTCAAGCAGAGGAATCTCTTGCCATTGCTGCCACCACAGCATGCTTGTGAAAAGTACTGCCTGGCTATCATCCATGTTCACTCAAGGCCCAGGGACTCTTCAGTCCAATTGTGGTGAATGCTGCCATGTCTGGGTCTCTCCCTTCAGGGCACTGGGTTCCCTTCTGGCCCAGGGAAGGTCCAGAAATACCATCCAGGAGCCAAGGTCTGGAATAAGGGAACTCAGGAGCCTGCTTGGTGCTCTACTCCACTTTGGCCAAGCTGGTGCCCAAGCTACAAGACAAAGTCCCTTTCACTTTTTCCTCTCCTTTTCTCAAGTGGAAGAAGTCTCTATCCATAACCATCATAGCTGGTAATGTACTGTGTCACAGCTGAAGCCAGTAGAGCTCTGAGTTTCACCCACAGCCTACAGTAAGGGGCTGACTCCAATTGCTGATTATTCAGGGCCCCAGGGCTCTTTAGTCAGCAGGTGATAAATCTTTCCATGACTGGGACCCTTCCCTCAAGGTAGTGAGTTCCCATCTGGTTCAGGGTGTGTCTAGAAATGGAATCTGGGAGTGAGCGCCTGGAACAAGTGTCTCAAGAGCTGCCTGGTACCCTATTTACAAGAGACTATGTGAGGCCTATCGTATGTATACCCCCTTTGATCCCAACAGCCCTGAGAATCAGCGCGTGATTAACATGGCTTTAGTTAGTCAAAGTGCAGAAGACATTAGAAGAAAACTACAGAAACAGGCTGGGTTTGCAGGGAGGAATACTTCACAGTTATTGGAGATAGCCAACCAGTTGTTTGTGAATAGAGATGCGGTAAGCCACAGAGAGAACCGCAGAGAGAGCGAACGCCAAGCCTGGCAAAACACTGACCTACTAGCCACAGCTATTAGAGGGGTCTCCCCAAAGGGGCAAGAGAAGGGGGGGGCCCAGGAAAAATACCCAGTCTGGCCATCCAGGCTTGCAGCATAACCAGTGTGCTTACTGTAATAGGACATTGGAAGGACAAGTGCCCCAGTTAAAAGGAAAACAAGCTGACTCTGAGCAGGAGGCCTCAGACAAGGACGAAAGGGCCTTGTTCAATGTGGCAGAAGAGTTACTGAATGAAGGGGACTGGGCTCATATGCCCCCAAAGAGCACATGGTCAGGATGACAGTCGGGGGCAAGGACATTGAGTTTCTTGTCAATACTGGTGCTGAACGTTCATTAGTAACCACCCCGGTCGCCCCCTTATCCAAAAAGACTATTGATATAATCGGAGCCACAGGGATTTCCGCAAAGCAAGCTTTCTGTTTGCCCTGGACCTGCACTATTAGGGGGCATGAAGTAATTCACCAGTTCCTGTACATGCCTGACTGCCCCTTGCCTTTACTGGGAAGGGAACTACTTAGCAAGCTGAGAGTCACTATCTCTTTTACAAAGCACGGCTCTTTACAGCTAAAGTTTCCTGGAACAGGAGTCATCATGGCCCTTACGGTTCTTCGGGAAGAGGAATGGAGACTCTTCTAACTGAGCCAGGCTAAGTGGTGGCCAAGGGTGTGGGTGGAAGACAATCCTCCAGGGTTGGCAATCAACCAGGACCCATACCAATAGAAGTTAAGCCTGGGGCCCAGCTGGTCAGGCAAAAGCAGTACCTGGTCCTCAGAGAAGCCCTTGAGGGCATCCAGGTCCATCTCAAGCGCCTGAGGGCCTTTGGAATTATAGTCCCTTGTCAGTCTCCAGGGAACACTCCCCTCCTACCTGTTCCCAAGACGGGTACCAAGGACTACAGTCAGATACACGATTTGCACATGGTCAACCAAGCTATAGTGACTTTGCATCCAACGGTACCTAATCCGTATACATTGTTGGGGTTGCTGCCAGCTGAGGATAGCTTGTTCACCCACCTGGACCTGAAGGATGCTTTCTTTAGAATTAGACTAGCTCCTGAGAGCCAGAAACTGGTTGCCTTTCAGTGGGAGGATCTGGGGTCAGGTGTCACCACTCAGTACACTTGGATCTGTCTCCCCCAAGGGTTCAAGAACTCCCCCACCATCTTTGGGGAGGCACTGGCTCCAGGCCTCCAGAAGTTTCCTGCCAGAGACCTAGGCTGTGTGCTGCTCCAGTAAGTCGATGACCTCCTGCTGGGACACCCCATGGCAGTCGGGTGCACCAAGGGAACAGATATCCTGCTCTGACACCTGGAGGACTGTGGGTATAAGGTGTCCAAGAAGAAAGCTCAGATCAGCAGACAGCAAGTATGTAATCCGGGATTTACTATTCGACAGGGAGAGTGCAGCCTGGGATCAGAAAGCAAGCAAGTCATCTGCAACCTGCCGGAGCCTAAGACCAGAATGCAGGTGAAAGAATTCTTAGGAGCTGTAGGGTTCTGCAGGTTGTGGATCCCAAACTTTGCAGTATTGGCTAAGCCCCTGTATGGAGTCACAAAGCGGGGAGACAAGTAACCTTTCAAATGAGGGTCCCAACAGCAACGAGCTTTTCATGAGTTAAAAGAAAAACTCATGTCAGCCTCAGTCCTGGGGTTACCTGATCTGACAAAACCTTTTATGCTATATGTGTCAGAGAGAGAAAAATTGGCGTTTGGAGTTTTGACCCAGACTGTGGGGTCCTGGCCAAGGCCGGTGGCCTACCTCTCTAAACAACTAGACAGGGTTTCTAAGGGTTGGCCCCCATGTTTGAGGGCCTTGGCAGCAACAGCCCTGCTAGCACAAGAAGTGGATAAGCTAACTCTTGGGCAAAACATAAACATAAAGGCCCCCCGTGCTGTGGTGACTTTAATGAGTACCAAAGGACATCATTGGCTAACAAATGCTAGACTAACTAGGTACCAAAGCTTGCTCTGTGAGAATCCCTGCATAACCACTGAAGTTTGCAACATCCTGAACCCCACCATCTTGCTCCTGATATCAGAGAGCCCAGTTGAACATAACCGTGTAGAGGTGTTGGACTCAGTTTATTCTAGCAGGCCAGACCTCCGAGACCATCCTCAGACATCGGTAGACTGGGAGCTGTACATAGACAGAAGCAGCTTTATCAACCTACAAGGAGAGAGGTGTGTGGGATATGCGGTGGTAACTCTGGACGCTGTCATTGAAGCCAAATCGTTGCCCCAGGGCACTTCAGCCCAGAAGGCCGATCTCATTGCTCTAATTCGCGCCTTAGAGTTAAGTGAAGGTAAGACTTTAAACATTTGCACTGACTCTCAGTATGCCTTTTTAACTCTCCAAGTGCATGGGGCATTATACAAGGAAAAAGGCCTGTTGAACTCTGGGGAAAAAGACATAAAGTATCAGCAAGAGATCCTGCAATTATTAGAGGCAGTGTGGAAGCCCCAAAAGGTGGCAGTCATGCACTGCAGAGGACACCAGCGAGCTTCCACCTCCATTGCTTTGAGGAACGCCCGAGCTGACTCAGAGGCTCAAAAAGCAGCATCCACCCACTACCAGGCATCAGTCACAGCCCCACTGCTCCCTCAGGCACCTGACCTTGTACCTACTTATTCTGAAGAAGAGAAGGACTTTCTCCAGGCAGAGGGAGGGCAGGTGATAGAAGAGGGATGGATCTGGCTTTGGACAGAAGAATAGCCGTGCCACAACTGCTAGGAGCCACAGTCATACTGGCTGTGCATGAGACCACCCACCTAGGCCAAGAGTCACTTGAAAAGTTGTTAGGCCGGTACTTCTACATCTCACATCTGTCAGCCCTTGCCAAAACAGTGGCATAGCAGTGTGTCACCTGCCGGCAGCACAATGCTAGGTAAAGTCCAACCGTCCCGCCCAGCATACAAGCTTATGGAGCAACTTCTTTGAAGGTCTCCAAGTAGACTTCACCGAGACACCCAAATGTGGTGGTAACAAGTATTTGCTAGTTCTAGTGTGTACATACTCTGGGTGGGTGTAGGCCTACCCAACAGGAACTGAGAAAGCTCGTGAAGTAACCCGTGTGCTTCTCCGAGATCTCATCCCTAGGTTTGGACTGCCCTTAAGAATCAGCTTGGACAACAGGCCGTCGTTTGTGGCTGACTTGGTACAGAAGACAGCAAAGGTATTGGGGATCACATGGAAACTACATACCGCCTACTGACCACAAAGTTCCAGAAAGGTGGAGCAGATGAACTGGACTATCAAAAATAGTTTAGGGAAAGTGTGTCAAGAAACAGTATTAAAGTGGGTAGAAGCTCTCCCTATGATATTGTTTAAGATTAGATGTACCCCTTCTAAAAGAATAGGATATTCCCCTTATGAAATATTGTATCATAGGCCCCCTCCCATACTACGGGACTCCCAGGAACTCCTAGAAAGCAAGGTGAAATTGAGTTACAGCGACAGCTACAGGCTTTAGGGAAAATTACACAATTTCAGCCTGGGTAAATGAGAGGTGCCCTGTCAGCTTATTCTCCCCAGTTCACCCTTTCTCCTCAGGTGATCAGGTGTGGATCAAGGATTGGAACATAGCGCCCTTCTGGCCACGGTGGAAAGGACCTCAGACCATCGTCTTGACCACTCCCACAGCTGTAAAGGTAGAGGGAATCCCAGCCTGGATCCACTGCAGCCACGTGATACCTGCAGCACCTGAGACCTGGGAGGCGAGACCAAGCCCAGACAACCCCTGCAAAGTGACTCTGAAGAATATGACAGGCCCTGCTCCAGTCACACCGGAAGCTGACTGGTCCACCCACGGCTGAAGCATGAGGAAACTCATTGTGGGACTCATTTTCCTTAAATTTTGGACTTGTACAGTAAAGACTTCAACTGACCTTCCTCAGACTGAGGACTGTTCCCAGTGCATACATCAAGTCACTGAGGTAGGACAAAAGATTGCTTCAGTCCTATTATTTTATAGTTAAAAGTGTACCGGGACCCTAGAAGGAGCTTGTTTGTATAATGCTACTCTATACAAGGTATGTAGCCCAGGAAGTGACCAGCCTGATGTGTGCTATAATCCATCTGAGCCCCCATGACTACCATTTTTGAAATAAGATGGAGGACTGGCAGCTGGGGAAAAAGCTGATATGAGTAAAGTAGTAACTAGAACAGAAGAGAAAAGAGTCCCCTAACAAATTATCTTAAAATTTGACACTTGTGCGGCAATCAACAGTGACCCGTACGGAAATAGAATAAGATGTAGCTCTCTAGATTGGGAAAAGAGCTGTATAGTAGAAAATAAGCATGTTTGTCATGAATTAGGACTGTGTAGTGATGAATGTATTTACTGGTCCTGTGTCATTTAGGCCACCTGGAAAAAGATAAGAAGGACCCTGACTGACTTCAAAAAGGAAAGAGTAACTCTTCCTGCACTAGTGGTCACTGTAACTCATTAGAATTATACCAATCCCCTTGATCCCCACTGGAAAACAGGAGAGTATGTAACTCTAGGAATCAATGGAGCTGGACTGGATCCCTGAGTAAATATTTAGTCCAAGGGGAGGTGCTCTCCCAAACCAGTGTTTCAGTTTCAGACCTTTTATGATGAGCTGAATCTGCCAGCACAAAAGCTCCCACAAAAAAAAAAAAAAAAAAAAAAAAAAAGACCAAGAACTTGTTTCTCCAGTTAGCAGAAAATGTACCTCATTCCCTCAATGTTACTTCTGGTTATGTATGTGAGGGAACCACTATGGGAGACTGATGGTCTTGGGAAGCCTGAATTGGTGCCTACTGATCCAGTTCCTGACATAATTCCAGTCCAGAAGGCCCAAACTAGCAACTTCTGGGTCTTGAAAACCTCAATTATTAGACAATACTACATAGCTAGAGAAGGAAAAGACTTCACCATCCCTGTAGGAAGGCTCAATTGTCTAGGATAGAAGCTGTATAACAGCACAACAGGAACAGTCAACTGGTGGGGTCTAAACCACAGTGATAAGAATACCTTCAGTAAATTTCCTAAATTACAGACTGCTCAGGCCCATCCAGAATCTCACCAAGACTGGACGGCTCCCTCTGGACTATACTGGATATGTAGGCACAGAGCCTACACTCAGTTACCTGATCAATGGGCAGGTAGTTGTGTCATTGGCACCATTAAGCCAACCTTTTTCCTACTGCCCATAAAAGCAGGTGAGCTCTTAGATTTCCCTGTCTATGCCTCCTGAGAAAAGAGGAGCAGAGCTATAGGAAATTGGAAAGATGATGCGTGCCCCAACCCCCCGAAAGGATCATACAGTACTATAGGCCTGCAATATGAGCACAAGATGGCTCGTGGGGATACCGATCCCCCATCTACATGCTCAACTGGATCATACAGGTTATCTTAGAAATAATCACTAATGAAACTGGCAGAGCTTTGACTCTTTTAGCCCAGCAGGAAACCCAAAGAGAAATGCTATCTATCAGCATAGATTGGCCTTAGACTATCTGCTGGCAGCTGAAGGAGGAGTCTATGAAAATTCAACTTGACCAATTGCTGTCTGCAAATAGATGATCAAGGACAAGTAGTCAAATATATAGTTAGAGACATGACAATGCTGGCACATGTGCCCATGCAGGTTTGGCATAGGTTTGATCCTGGATCCCTGTTTTGAAAGTGGTTTCCAGCTCCAGGAGGATTTAAAACTCTTATTATAGGAATAATAATAGTGTTAGGAATCTTCGTGTTACTCCCCTGAATGTTACCTGTATTTCTCCAGTTGCTAAGAGGCTTCGTTACCAATTTAGTTCATCAAAAGACCTCAGCACAAGTATATTACATGACTCACTATCGATCCATCTCACAGGAAGACCTGGGTAGTGAGGATAAGAGTGAGAACTCCTACTAGTGAGTGAGGTTCTCAAAGTGGGGAATGAGGAGAGAGGCCATTTCTCTTACTGTCCCCTGTCTCCAAAGAAAAGGAGGAAGTAAAAACTGAAAAATAACAGACTGATCGGCACCACTGGCCAGGCCTGTAGGTTAAAGATTAACCCCCACCCTAACTGCTTGTGCTATCTATAGATCACAGACAATGGTATGGAGAAATACTTGCCTTGCTCACCACCCCCACATAGTCACATACCACATGCTTGCTCAATCTATCATGACCCTTTCACGTTGACCCCTAGAATTGTAAGCCCTTAAAAGGGCCAGGAACTCTTTCTTCAGGGAGCTTCGTTCTTGAGACACAAGTCTGCTGATGCTCCCAGCCAAATAAATCCTCTTCCTTCTTTAACCCGGTTTCTGAGGGGTTTTGTCTGAGGCTCGTCCTGCTACACTTCTAGTATTTTTATAGTGTTGGGTGTTTTGTTTAAGACTTCAATACATTTTGAGTTGATTTTTGTATATCATGAGAAATAGGGATCTAGTTTCTTTCTTTTGGATAGGGATATCCAGTTCTAGCACCATTTCTTGAAGAGAGTGTTAATTTCTCAATCTATGTTCTTGGTGCCCTTGTTGAAAATCAGTTAGCTGTAAATATCTGGGTTTATTTCTGAGTCATTACTCTGTTCCATTCATCTATGTGTCTGTTTTCATACCAATACCATACTGTTTTGTTTACCATAGACCTGTAAGGTATTGTGATGCCTCCAGCTTTATTCTTTTTGCTTAATATTGCTGTGACTATTTGAGATCTTTTATGGTTCTATACAAATTTTAGGATTTTTTTTTTTCATTTTGTGAAGAATGTCATTGGTATTTTGATAGAGATTGCCTCAAATCTGTAGATCTCTTTGGGTAGTACAGATATTTTAGCATATTAATTCATCCAGTTTATAAATATGAGATGTCTTTCCAAGTTTTTGTGTCTTCATTTCATTAGAGTTTTATAGTTTTATTTGTAGAGATATTTCCTGGGTAAATTTATTCCTAGGTATCTTATTTTTTGGAGTTGTTATAAATGGAATTGCTTTATTTCCTTTTCAGCTAGTTTTCTGTTGAAATATAGAAACACTACTGATTTTTGCATTTTGATTTTACATCCTACAACTTAGCTGAATTTGTTTATCACTTCTATGAGTTTTTTTGATTGAATCTTTACTCTTTTTCCATATATCAGGTCATGTCATATGCAAATGGGTGTCCTTTATTTATTTTTCTTGCGTAATTGCTATGGAAGTTCTAGGTTAGGACGTCCAGTACTATCTTAAATAAGAATGATAAAAGTGATCATCCTTTCTGTTCTAATTCATACAGAAAAAGCTTTCAGCTTTTTCCTAATCTGTTTTTTTTTTTCTTTTTTGCTGTGGGTTTTTTTACATATGGCCTTACTGTGTTAAGGTATATTCCTTCTATATCTAAGTTGTTGTGAGTTTTTATCATGGAGAAGGGATGTTGAATTTTATCAAATACATTTTTCTGTGTCTATTGAGATGATTATTTGGTTTTTATCCTTCATTCTGTTAATGTGGTGTATCACATTTATTGTTTTATGTATGTTGAACCATCCTTGCATCCACGTTAATCATGTTGTATAAATTTTTAATGTGCTTTTGGATTCAATTTACTAATAGAGGCATTTGGAGCTGTAAATTTCCCTCTAACCCTAGTTTAGCTATATCCCATATACTTTGCTGTTTTCTCAGTCTTCAAACAATGAAAAATAGGAGAAGAAAATAACTGGATAAATTATTCATTCTCCCTCCTGTACTAATCAAGGAATCTGACCCTCAGTGATACAATGTAGTACATTCTGAAAATCTTAGTGGGTAAAAAACTAAGCTATGGTTGTATTTGCTTGAAAACTTACAGCTAACGATGAAACAGATGCCCTATTGGTTTTTCCTTCTTCTTTGGTATCTCTTTATCTCTACTCTTGTTGCACTTGACACTCCAATAAAACGTTACCCTATAATTGCTATATCAGGATCATCTGTGTTCTGAAAGACCCATGCTAAGACGTACATGGCAATCACAATGTATACGTTTGCTAAGAGTCCTTAAATGTTATGTCCATTAACCATGTGGAAAATTGGAGTATTATCATAGATTTAAATCTTTAATTCAATATCAGAAACCAAAAAAAGAAAACAGTTATTCTACTATCTCAATGCAGCTGGTATCTGTGCTCTCCTCTACATGTCTACAAATTCTACCTAGGTTTACAAATTGTCTCTTGTTTCATCTTATCTGGACAGGCTTATTAGCTTTCTAAACAGGGTGCCACCTCCAGATATACCATTTTCAAACTCTGCAATAATGATTTTTTTAAAAAAATTGATTCATATTATCTTACTTCATAACAATAACTTTCTATCTTTTTGATAAGTGTTGTCCATTTTCATTTTTTTGGTCATTTTAATCTATAATTTATACTAATATATAATTGAAATTGGTTCAATGGATAAAATCCAGATATACCTTAGTTTATGACCAGTTTATGGGATTTTAAGAAAAAAATTATGACTGTATCCTATTCTCACTTTCAGAATCTATCCATGAATATCTCAGTACTCAATATACGTATATATTATTTATATATAAATATAGATATATAATATATATATTATAAATATATATTATGTGTATTGAGTACTGAGATATTAACGAACTCATATTTATTCATTCATATATTTATTCATTCATATATTTATTCATAATATATGAATTTATTCATAATATATGTTTATGTATATATATTCATCCATTGATGTTATTTATATATATAAATGTAATAAATATAAACAATATATGTGTAAAAACTTAGTACTGAGGTATTCATGGGTAGATTCTGAAATATAAATTTATATTATATATAATGTAAATATAATACATCTGTGTGTATTCATAAATGAACCTGCTATCTCTCTGCACTCATTTTTTACTGCTTCCCGAATCTGTGCTATAATCTCGTCTTTCTGAAGTAAATTATTTCTCTATATGTGCCAGATACATGCTATAAACATTCACAATTGTTCTATTCTCATTTACTATTTTTTGCTTAGAACATCCTCCATGGATGAATTTATCTGGCCAAGCTCTGTTCACTTTTTAAGGCGTAGCATAAATATCAAACTCCAAACACAATTTTTCCCTCTTCCTTATCCTGAGATTGTTATTCTTTGAGGTCTCTTAGGGCTATGGACATAGGTCTTCCATCACATTGCATATACCCATCTCTCTTTCAACTGTGAGATTCTTGAAGGCAGAAACCATGTCCCATGTCCCATGTGCCTCTCTGTGCCCCGAGTTTAAAAAGTTACTTGGCAAAAAGAATCACTAAAATGTTATTGAATTAAATTGATTCCTTGCTATAAAACACACATTGTTATAGAGAATGGGCTGTAGGTATTACTGTAAAATTTCAAGCATAAAGCACATAAAATGAAGGCACATTTGTCGTCATTAGACAAAATAGATAAATCTTTAAATATATACTCAAAAGTAGCTATCTTGCCACATTTCTCATAGCTTTAAAGGAGAAGATTGCTTAAACACTGGAAGACAATATAATGGAGAGATGTTCCACACTTTGGATTCCATTTATGCTTGGTAGTTGAAGATAAACCACTGGAAAAAATGGTGGTAATGATAATAAAATCATTGAGCCTAAAATGACTTGTGTGTATGAATTCAAAAGCCACAGGGCCTTTTTCTCCAATGATTCAAGTGAACAAAAGACACTCTGATATGCTGCATAGTTTACCTTCTAATTTTTTTAAAGTCTAAGAATCTATCATGGTGGCTGAAGTATAAAGATTTTAAAAAAATGATAGGCAGCCTTTAATGTAATTTTTAATACTATATTCTATGTCCTCTGACTTCAAAATTGTAGCACATTTTACACAACATTATCAGTGATACCAGATCACAGAATACTTTTGAAATAAGCATATCTTCGTACTGTTTACATTTTTAAATCCCTTTAAGTACTACTATGGGATATAAAAATGCACTGCAATTCCTTTATAGCTATATAAATGCTGTGGGTTGAATTGTCCAAATTGTGTACATCTCAACTACTTGATGTGAAATGTGTGCTGTTTATTTCTGTAGAATAAAAAACAAGGTAAATATTAACTCAATTTTTTTGTTTTACTGTTACAGGTAACAACAAATTCATTTCTCTTCAAACTGAAATAAATAGTTTTGAGAAAATACTTTTCAGTTTTGGGTTTAAAGAAAAACATATTAATGAAATATTAACAGAATATGATTACTGTCTATATGTTAAAATTTATATGTTACAAGAAGGGCATGTTCAAAGGTTAAAAATAGCTTGAGTGGAAATTTTAAATGAAGTTTTCTCTTCATAGTTAGAAACTAGAGAGTTGAAAGAGATCTACACAAGTAAAAAGTCACTTATTTTGTTGTACTATGCTTCTATATTTAGTTATGTCTAGGTATACATATACACAAGTCTAACATATACATATAAATACACGTATGTGTGTGCGTATCTGTGTGTTTTATAGTTAATGATATATTTTGCAGATCTGAGAAAAATGGGCTGCTAGAGCCAATGGGATAGTAAAAATGTCAGAGAAAGGGGAACAATTTTGGAAACATTATGAGAGAGGCAACTTGGAGACAACAAGAACAGAGAATGGGATTTGGGATTAAGTTCGTTTTTAATGAGAGTATTCTCTACCACCTCCCAGTGGAATCATCAGAAAACTCAAGATCACTAGATACCCTTTGGGAGTAATTGAATTTTTAATGTTATCTGTAATAAGTGTTTTGTTTTATTTCAGTGTTAATGTGTGTAAAAACAGAGGTGGCTTGCTAAATCAGCCCTCAGTATTAAAATTCATTCATGTCTTCAGCAAATGCCATTGAAGGCATACCCCATGCCAGCCATTCATTGATTGGCTGTGATAATATGTTGATGAGCCAGATATCATCCGACTTCAAGGGGCCCTCGACATGTGCCTGGCTGTGGAAACATATTCCATGTGTGTACAGACAAATTAATTACAAAGGAGAATGATAAGGGTCAATAAACTCAAAGGCTCCAGGTGCCCTGCATACACATAGACCAGGCATATATCCTAGTTTGGGGATGTGTCTCAATTCTTTGAAAAAACTTAAAGCCTGGTTTTATTACACAATTTGATTTTGAAATTCTTAATTACTCACTGAATATAAATATATACCAAATTATGAATTATTTAGTTTTCATGCATGGAAACACATTGTAGAAAGAACATGGACATTGATGTTAGACACTTATAATTCTAGATCTCCCTAACTTGTTAATATGTAGGTATTAACACACAGGTTAATATGTAGGAAATTAACTCACCAATCTGTTTCCTCTCCTGCAAAGCAAAGCTAATGTAAACTTTGTAGGTTGTGATTATCAGACATGTAAGGCAGCTAATGCAGTGCCTGGTACTGTCTAATAAGCATTTGGTAAATGGGAGTTATTGCAGAACTTTGCAGATGTTTTAATAGGCAAGTGTCATTGTGAATTTCAAAGAGTGGTCTAGAGTTTATGGTACTTCCCCAACTTAATTCATTTAAAGAATATCAATTAAAATTTTGTCAAACACAAAATATGAGGCTGCTTGTTTTCTTTAGGAGTAAAGCAGCCCAAAGGACTATAACATCAGAACTTATTGACCACACACTTGCCCTATCAATTTTTAAAAAATCAACATAACGTGAATGCAGTTTTCATAGATGAAAAATTTCATAATAATTGTAAACAAAGACAAGGTGTTACCATATTGTGGGATATTTTATGTATAAGTAATTATGCTCTGTAATATTTTACAGCCCATTTAAACATTTTATATGTTAATATCATTTTTAAATGCTGACTTCTAAAAAACTGGCTGTATAATATGCTGGCACTTTGCTACCTCCGCATTCGTTCTGAATTAATGTACTTCAGAAATTCATTTGGAAGACATAACTGCATCTTTATCTCTAACATATTTTAATTGGTTATAACAACTAAACATAACAGATACCACCAAAAATAAATAACTTTATCCTGCATCATTATTGTTGTTGCTGTTGTTCTGATTAAATGATCTTCTTACTTTAAGTATACTTTAAGTATTTTATGGTAACTTCTTGGCAGTCATAACTTTCTGAGGAAGAGAAAGCAAATTCATAATTATTATCTAACGTGAAATACTAGAAAGTGAGGCTGATAGTTCAGAAACGTGTTTTGCTTTTGTCATATTGTTATTTTTCCCCTTTGGTGTTGGCTTAACCAGTTTGGCCAAATGCTGAGCTTTTTCCAAGCCAACAGTCCCAAAATATAACCTGGTGAACAGTTGCCAGTCTGTCAGTCTTCCAGTCCAGAACCAACTTAATAACAACAATCCAGGCAAACCATCCCCTTCTCAAGCAGGAGACTCTGTGGGTTCTTCATTTCACAAATGTCAATGCCAGCTTGGCCCTCTAATCTCTCCCCTCATATGGCTGTCTCTCTGATGGACCTTGTTTAATTAGCTATTTGCCTATTTCTCCTCTGTCCTGAACACTTTATTGGAGAGGATTTCTGTAGCCTCCCAAGTGCTCAAATAACGGTTTTCAGCCACTGTTCATTGAGACCCCATTATCCTTCCCAAGCCCAGTTGGAGCTAAATCAGGCAAGACCTGGGGTTAGCTACTTTGTATTGGCTTTCCAAGTGCATATCTTATGTATTAGAGATGCATATTTTAGTGCAAATTTTAGTGCAAACTCAGATGCAAATTTTAGTGCAAATCTACGATTCTTTTAGCAATTTAGCCTGAAGCAATAATGGGATAAGTGTGCAATTATCCAAATGAAGTAATCACAAGTGTATGACTCATAATTGCACTGTTTATATTTATGAACATTTAAAACTATCCTGGCTGGATGTGGTGGCTCACGCCTGTAATCCCAGCACTTTGGAAGGTCAAGGCAGGAAGATCACTTGAGCCCAGGAGTTCAAGACCAGTCTGGGAAACAGCAAGAACCCGTCTCAAAAAAAAAAAAAGAGAGAAAATTTCCAAATTGTTCAGTAATAGAATGATAAAATGACAACTATGGAATACAAAGTGATGCCATTAAGAATAATTAGGTACATTTTTATTGAACTGAATATATTTTCAATATACATTTTTATTAAAAAAGTTATAAAATATGTACAAAATGAAGATATATCAATAAAAATGAAACACACATATTTATATGTGTGTATATGTGTGTATGTACGCATATATATACACACACATGAGATTAGACACCACAACGGTACTAGTGTTTATATCAAGGTAGTAGGATTATATGTGAATTTTACAAATTTTTTTTCAGATTTGTATTTTTTACCATGAACATTAATTACTTGTGTAATATTAACTTATGTAATACTTTAGAACTTTTAATCATGTTCCTATTCTTCTTTCTCAAAATATTTTATAAAAGATCACAAACTCAAACTATTCTCCACATCCCACTTTTGCTGGCACCCCATTTCTCTTTCCTTTATTTAGACCTAATCCTCTTAGAATACCTGTCCTTTTTTTTTCCATTTCCTTACTTTTAAAGCAGTTTTCAAATTGTTCTAATCACCATATTCCATTGAAGTTCTTGATGAAAGTGATCAATAAATATTTGTGGCTAAATATATGTAATTAAAAATAATTTCTTGAGTCTCTTGGCCTCAGTGCATTGTTGACCCCTCTCCCCCAAACAGGTGCTTCTATGACATCCTAAACTTTCACATCACAGCATGCGTGAAACTTGAATTGATTGTTTAATTTTCTCCCCTCCAATTGAACCATAAGATCCATAAAGGAAAGATACAATCAACTTGATTCTTAATAGTAGGCCCTAGCCCAGTGTCTCATATATACTAGGTGACCAACACATATATATCAACTAAACTAATGAATAAATAAACAATATATTGTTTAAAAAGAACATGATCATCCTGAAATGATATCTTGTCATTGATATTCTATTCTAGTTTCAGGAATCTAAATAATTTAAATGTTACCCTTCTCAAAGAAGACCCTATAACAGTTGTCCCTTTTGGCACCAAGGACCGATTTCATGAAAGACAATTTTTTCCACAAGATGGGGTGGGGCAGTGGATTGTTTCGGAATGATTCAAGCACATTACATGCATTACATTTATTGTGCACTTTATTTCTATTATTATTACATTGTAATATATAATGAAAAATTGTACAACTCACCGTAATGTAGAATCTGTGAGAGCCCTGAGCTTATTCTGCTGCAACTAGACAGTCTCATCTAGGGGTGATGAGAGACAGTGAAAGATCATCAGGCATTAGATCCTCATAAGGAGCATGCAACCTAGATCCCTCACATGCACAGTTCACAATAGGGTTCACACTCCTATGAGAATCTAATGCCACTGTTGATGTGACAGGAATCCTCCTGCCAGAGGATCTCAGGCTGTAACGCCAGCAGTGGGGAGTGGCTATAAATATAGATGAAGCTTTACTCCCTGGCCTGCCACTCACCTCCTGCTATGCAGCCTGTCCATGGCCTGGGGCCTGGAACCTGGGGACCCTGACCTATGAGATAAGAAAACAGGGTTCAGAGATTTTTACTGGAAAGTAGGTACAGTGAAGTCTAGTTTTACTACAGCTTAATAGAGAGAGGAAACTCAGCCTCAGAAGGGATATATCAATTTTCTAAAATCACTGGTAGAAATAGTAAAGAATTTGGTTGGTTTCCCTCTCCCATTCCCAATCTGTGCTCCTATCAATCAAATATGTTACATAAGCTTAACCCATGCACCAGAAGATGGAAAAACAACAACAAAAACACAGGGCTGTTGAGATTTATTGAACATAGATCACATCAAAGACATATAGCTGCAAAGAATCTAATTAAAATTTGTTATTTCAGCTGGTCAGCCATATTCTTTCTGTACAATTAGGGGTTGTGATTTTATTTAAACCAAGTTCCAATACTCCCTCCCACTCCCAGGTCACTGACAGAGCAGCACTTGGCAATTGGGAGGAGAATATAGACAACACTTCCCTCAGCATTCTTTCTGGGATGGCTGTTTGGGCTAAAATAGCAGCCTCTGCTTCACATATGTTATATCTGTCTATATATTTAACTGCTGCAGAGAGGGATTTCCTCTTTATGATTTGAATGTTAGCTGATTATTGAGTATGGAAGAAATGGTGCTCTCTGGAGTAACTATACCTATTTTTCCCATGTGACACATGTGCTTGGACTGATGATCTTTCAGTCTTCTTTAATGGGTTTCTCAAACAAGCATTATAAAGTGAAAAGAAAAGTGCATTTGGCTTTCTTCAAAATTCTAGCAATTTGTTCTATGGCACAGAGTGTATAGAGCGAAATGCTATGAATAATAGGACTCTATTCATTCAAGATGAAAGCAGGATTAGAGTTTTGTTCTCTGACTGTACCTCTGTTACTTAGATTGCTAAGAAAAGCTTTATTTGTTAAATGTAGAATTCATAAAGATAATGTTTACTAATTCAATATAATTCATAAATAGGAGTGTAATCCATTCTGTCCTCATTGTACATGAAGGGAAGATTCTCTGCACAGGAAGCTCACACTTACATTAAGACAACTATGGACTTGGCCTTGAAAATAAAATAACTTATGTTCTCTAAATCATCATAGTGTTTGTTTATATCATTATTAACTATTTGACCATAACAATTTATAAAGGCAAAGGGACTGTTTTCATTTAGTAACAATTTAGATTACAGGTAGACAATGCCAAATCCTCGTTTTTGTTGTTGTTTTTGTTTTGTTTTGTTTTTAAGAAAACTGTTTATTCTTTTTTAATGACAAGAAACTGGTTGAATGACAGAAATGTTTTCCTTCAACGGGTCAAACAACACCATCTATTGTAATATAGTTAACACTGGGTCTCCCTTTCAATGGAATATGACACAGAATTTCACACACTCTTAGGAAGAAAGAAAAGATAACCTTCTTCATATTGTTCAGCATCTTTCTTTATGTTAGGCACTTGTATTAGTCCATTTTCACACTGCTATAAAGATACTACTGGAGGCTGGGTAATTTATAAACAAAGGAGGTTTAATTGACTCACAGTTCCACAGGCTGGGGAGGCCTCAGGAAATTTACAATCATGGCGGAAGGGGAAGCAGGCACCTTCTTCACAAGATGGCAGGAGAAAGAGGGAGGAGTGCAGGGGAAAGCACAACTTATAAAACCATCAGATCTGATAAGAACTCACTGTCACAAGAACAGCATGGAGGAAACTGCCCCCATAATCCAATCATCTCCCATTAGGTGCCTCCCTCAACACATGAGAATGACAATTAGAGATGAGATCAGGTGCGGACACAAAGCCAAACCATATCAGCACTGTACTAGACAGGGTGCCTTACTTTAGCTCATGTAATGTTCTTAATAATATATTAAATAGGCATTATTAACCCTGCTTTTCAGATGAACAATTTGAAGTTCAGTAAAGTTATCAGCCAACATTGCCCATTTAGTAAGTGGTAAGGAAACACACAGAAACACACATACATACACACATTTCTTCCTTTTAACTGGAAAATTTGTTGTCTTTGGACTACACAGGTTTTAACTTAGGGCCACACTAAAGATAAAATACAGGGAAGGAGAAAGAAACATACTTAATGTGAATGCGCAGGGGAAAAAACAGAACAATGAAAGCCTTTATATAAATGGTTTCACTTTGTTACATAGTCTGACTTTCTAATAAGTGTTCCAGTGGGTCACCACCCTCTGCAGAAGCTCCTGAGCTGGATGTGTAAGCTTGATGTTAAAAACAGGGTGAGGAAGTGACACAGCATTAATCACTAATCAACTTCTTTTGCTCCTGCCTTTTCTTCTTGTTTATCATTATATTATTTCTGCTATGAATTTTTTTATATTGTTATTTTTAATGTAATATTTTATCTCCTGAGGGTATTATAGACTGTTGTAAAAAATCTTTTATTCTGCTCTCTGTATTGTCTCTGTTTCTCACAAGCTCATTTGTTTTACATTGGAGAATTTCCTCCAATGTATGTTGATCCTTGGCTGATGGTGCATGGTTCAGAGTAAAACATAAAAGCTGAAATGAAATTGGCAGGAGGACACACTAATGAGGGCACTCATTGTGTACCTAAGTCAACTAGAGAGTGATTAGATAGTAACTGGTATTTTTTTTTTTATTGGAAGGCCTTTCCACAATTGAATATCTATAAGCATTTAATTTTGGGCCTGAGCCTGAGGGTAATCTTCACCTCTGGAGGTAGACATAGTGTAATCCTGGATGCTAGTGTTTTTTTTTTTTTTTTCAGCTCAATAAAGAGAAAGAGGCTATAGTAGTTCTCAGCACTATGCACATTGACTTTCAAACATTTCGTTGTTATCAGCATGGTATATCTTCTCTATTCTCAGCTGTCCAAACATCTCTGCTAAGTAAACTCCATTACATTTTGGAAATGAGAATAAGTAGTCACTTGACTAGGTGGAATGGAGCAAAATATCTGGAAGTCTAATATTTATGTATCCAAGTTTTCTATGATCCTCTTTTCAGCCTTGCCTTACCTTTACATTTCAGAGATTCTTAATGGCCCTAATCTCTGAGGCTTTCTGAGTTTAATTCAGTTTAGTTTTCCACTTTGTTGATCTCTCCCTATCCTCCTGCCAGGTTTGGATATCTGCTTTCTTCTGTCTTCTGAGTCAGTTCCTACTTATCCATCTGCTCTTAACATCCTATAACAAAGACAAGTTATCTCTAAGCAACTACGTTTTCTTCATTCCTGGACACAGAGCTGGTTTATATTTCTGAGCCTGCCTTATAGCGATGCAAATGAGTCGTGGTAATGAAACACAAGGGAGGTAATGCATGCCATGCAAAGGTCTTGTGCAGTGTGGCCTTTGACATGCAACTGCATTCTCTTTCACTCTTCCTTCTGAAATAATTTTGGAAGCCCTACATAAGATAGAGGTGTGCTATGGGTGAATTGTGCAATTGTGAATCGTGCCCCCTCCCCGCAGAAATATGCCGATGCCCTGTATTAGTCCATTCTTACGCTGCTGTGAAGAAATACCAGAGATTGGTAATTTATAAATAAAAGAGGTTTAATTGACTCAAGAGTTCTGCATGCCTGGGTTGGCCTTAGGAACTTACAATCATGGCAGAAGGCACCTCTGCTCAGGGTGGCAGGAGAGAGAAATGAGTGCTGAGCAAAGGAGGAAGCCCCTTATAAAACTATCAGATCTCATGAGAACTCACTCACTATCACAAGAACAGGATGGGGGAAACTGCCGCCATGATTCAGTTATCTCCACCTGGTCCCTCCCTTGACACGTGGGTTTATGGCAATTCAAGGTGAAATTTGGGTGGGGAAACAGAGCCAAACCATATCATGCTCTAAAACCCAGTGTGACTGTTTCGGATATAGGGACTTTAGAATGCAGTTAAGGTTAAATGAAGTCATAGGTTGGTTCCCTAATCTGATAATACTATTATTCTTATTTAAAAAATTTAAAGCACTCTCTCTCTCCACTTATGTGAGGACACAGCGCAAAGGTAGTTGCTTGCAAGCTAGGATCCTTTAACAGAACCATGCTGATGTCCTGATCTCAAACTTCTGTCTCCATAATGGTGAGAAAATAAATTTCTGTTGTTGAAGACATGTAGTCTGTGGTATTGTGTTATGGCAGTCTGAGATGACCAATACAAGGAGCCACAGATAGAAGGAGTTTGTATCTCTGAATCATTTCTTGGAGAATTGCCAGCCAAGCAGGAATATCCATTAGGACTTTGTATAAGAAAAAAAAATAGCTTCTATTGTGATGTGCCACTGAGAAATTGGAACTTACCTACCTAGTATAACAGCTCATATTACTTTAACAATTTACATTTCTCATTGCCTGTGGTCTCCTATCTATTTCTGTCATTCTTGTGGATTTTATACTTTACTATTTTATTGTCAGTTAGAGGACTTTTGAGAGGGAGGGGCAGTGAGCATGTATGTTTTATTCACTATTCACCTTGTGTTACTAAATCTATTCAGCTTATGAACTTTTAATTTTGCTTCCCTGTTTTGGCAGGGTGCTCAGACCTTAGACTTAATGAAATCCTTTGTTTTTTAGTTTGTTGATTCCTTTAGCATAATCTCTTAGACATTATCATGTATTCATTCATTTATCTCATTTCTGACTGCTTCATGACCACACAGTATGAGTAAGCTCTAGTATACAAGATTCTATCTATGAGACACACAGTATTATCTTTCAGCTTCATTTACGATATTTACATCTGTTACATTTGGTGCACTGGAGTGAAGAGAAGGGCGTTTTATCTCCAAGATCATATTAAGTACTAGGGAATCCAATTCTGATAAGATGAAAAATAATGATTAAAATCATGTTTCCTTGGAGCATGTCTCACTCTCAGATATTAAACATTTTCTCAGTTTTTAATGTCTTCTCACAGGGGAATTTGAAGAGGTAACAAAAGATGTATGTCCTTGATTCCTACAGGATGTACCTTCATTCCTTCATACTCGTGAAGGAGAGACCACACAAAAAGAGACATCTGCTTCCCTCCCTACAGGGATTTGTATTGGGTACTGTTCTTCTTTTCTTAAAGCCTATATATTTCTTAACACCTCATGGTTTAATAGCCATGCAAACTCATAGCTTACTTACTTGTCTTCTTTGCTAGGGGAACTAATCTAATTGGGCCATACTCTTAATACTGAATGGCGTCATTTTTCCTCAAGGATAAGTAAGAAATGCACTGGTTTTCAAAGTCCATGCATCAGGTCCACCTAAACAAAGTCTCTTGGAAATAGTAAAATTGGAAGGAGGCTAGGATTGTCCCTGCTCTTTTCTAGTAAAATTGGAAGGAGGCTAGGATTGTCCCTGCTCTTTTCTACTTGGGATTGACTAAATAAGTGAGTTAGAATAGGCATTTGTTCTGAATCGCTTTGTCTTCAACTCAGTAAAGCAGAAGCCAACTATGAGGCTTCTGGTCCAAGCTACATTCTCCAATCCAGCTTGTTATGGTTTGGCTGTGTCCCCACCCCAATCTCATCTTGAATTGTAATCCCCATAATCCCCACATGTTGAGGGAGGGAGGGACCCAGTGGGAGGTGACTGGATCATGGGGGCATTTTCCCCCATGCTGTTCTCATGATAGTGAGTGTGTTTTCAGGAGATCTGATGGTTTGTAAGTGTTTGAGACCGGGTGCGGTGGCTCACGCTTGTAAACCCAGCACTTTGGGAGGCTGAGGTGGTGGATCACCCGAGGTCAGGAGTTCAAGACCAACCTAGCCAACATGGTGAAACCCCATCTGTACCAACAGTACAAAATTAGGTAGGCGTGGTGGCACACACCTGTAATCCCAGCTACTGGGGAAGCTGAGGCAGGAGAATTCCTTCAACCTGGGAGGTGGAGGTTGCAGTGAATGAACCGAGATCGGACCATTGCACTCCAGCCTGGGTGACAGAGCACCACTCCATCTCAAAAAATAATAATAAGTGTTTGAATGTTCCTCCTTCACATGCTCACACTCTGTCGTGATGCCTTGTGAAGAAGGTGCCTGCTTCCCCTTCTGCCATCATTGTAAGTTTCCTGAGGCTTCTCACACCATGCAGAACTGTGAGTTAATTAAACCCCTTTCTTTTATAAATTACCCAATCTAGGGTATTTCTTTTTAGCAGTCCAAAAATGGACTAATATGCAGCTTTACCACAAGTTTAGAAAGCTTACTTTAATTTTGTTTTTAACTTTGTGAATATTGTCCTCATTAGCTTGAACCCATAAGCAAGAATACATGAAGGCACTCCAAACTCCAATAAAATTACTATATTTTTGTCAATGTCACTACCTCTTGCTAAAATCCTGATACAGAATTCCTGAAATTAACAGATTCTTGGTCGGGCAAATCTTCTAGGTTTTAAAATAGGAAAGGCTTTCAGTTAGTGAAAACTATATTTAGATTCAAAGTCACTGAAAACATAGAGTTCCTTTTGATTATAAAAGAGGATCATATAATACTAGAGTAGGAAGAACTCTGAAAGTCTATTATAGTTTTCCTTGTTCATCGTACACATGGGGAGAAGCTTTTATATACTTGATGGAAACTTCAGCCATGGGTAATAGCTCTGTGATCATTGGTAGTAGGCTGAACTTTCTCCCTATTGCATTGGCTGGCTAGAGAATAATAAATAAAATTTTTAAAACACCTGGATTTCTAACCATGAAAAACCTGATTGTTCAAAAAGTATTTTTGTTTCCACTGCCAATCTAATGCTAAGTCATGCAAAAAACTGAAACTAAAAATGGACAAAAACCTAGATCTCTTTTAAATCATAAGTAATGTACCCTACAAATAACTCCATTGTGAAATCCCTTCTTCGGAACAGATATGCTAAGTATCCTGAGAGGATGGAGAATAAACTCCATTTTGAGCTTGGAAAATTATGGGAGATATTCATGAAGAAATAATATAGGGATACTATCATTGTTATTTATACCTTTTAAAACATGTTAGAAGTAAAGGAATCCTCAAGGAAGAAGGAAAAAAGTAGTGCTGAAGCTAGGCAGTGAAGATGGGGTGGTAATGCAGATAGTGTTAAGAGTGGCAGTGCATCTGAGGTTGCTGGGGATGAAGATGGCAGTTGTAGAATGAAGCGATAACAGAATCATTTGAGAGGTGGTAGTAGACATAGTATGGTAGGAGGTAACTTAATCTCAAAGTCTATAACAGAGTACATATGGCTTAGACTGTATCCAATCATGTTTCCAGGAAATAAGCATTGTAAGTATTAAATTCAAACACGTTTGAAAGCTAATTGCTATTGCTTTTGGACTACCACTTAAATGAACTCTTGTTATGGGGGATTGGTGATAAGTGAAGATTTCAAATTGCTGTATACAGTATGATATAAATCAATGATATAGAAGGTGATCTATAAAAATGTTCAGCCAACGATTTATAGTTTTATAGCAAAACATAGTATTGCTCCATGTTTGAAATTGATTTTCTTTCAGCAATTCTTGTTTCTCAAATCAGTAATGTGAGCAAGTATGTGGTGTCACTTTGATAATGTTTAAAATGCCTGTTCCCATTCTTCAAATGACACATAAAAAGTAAAAATAAACAAGGGATTATTTCTGACATGTTTGACTTAATTTTTGACTCTGGGTTCAATTTACCAAAGGAAAAATCATATAAACTAGTGCATAGCCTTGTGTTGCGGTGGAGGGGGTAATTTATTTGACTGCCATTTGTGCTGTGTTTCTTTGGACAATGGTCCACATATACAAAAAAATTGAAAACCATTCTGCTGTCAGTGTAGATGGGCATGAGCCTCTAAAGACCTTCATTCTCCCAAATGTACTTAAGTGTTATAAAAAGAGGATAATAGCATGAACATTTGCTTTAGTGTCTATGAGCCAGACATTGGTTTATTTCATTTAACCTTTATAAAAAGTTTTTGATACAAATAATAAAATAATAATAACATCCCTTTTGAGGAACCAGATTAAAAAGTGTTTGTCAAAATCAGAATATGCATTCTGTTCTATCTAAAAGTATGCTCTAAATTCCTTCATTGTGCTCATAATGGGCTTAAAAATAATGAAACATGGATGTAATTTCAATAAACAGCACTGAAAAGACTTTATAATGTATATCCCAAACTGATTTTGCCCTTGATGTCTATCTCATTTTGGTTTCATTTGTGATGAATTATTAAATGAATGTATTATTATCTTGTTTACCTCTTTTATATAGTTAGGTTAATTTTGGATTCTTATGATTAATTCAGAGGTCACATTCAAAATAATTAACAATCAATACAGCTCCACTGCACCAACCCACCACCGAGAGTGGAGGCCAGTTGTAAACAATCTTTCAGGAGGGTGTCACAGTGTACAGATATGTATCAGCCCCAAAGTTATGTTCTCTTTTACTGACACATTAACTCTTTTGTTTTACTATATATTTTTAAAAGTTCTGGACTTTTAAATAAGTTATTTCTTGAGGTGTAATGTGTATACATTATAAAATCGACTTTTAAATGTATATTTCAATAATTTTTGACAGAGATGCGCCCTTACCGTCACAATAAAGATATGGATTATTTCTAACACATATAGGCTTCTTTTAAGGAAAGAAACAATTCTAGATGAATTCAGAAGATGATGAGAGAACAATTACTAATTATAAATCATTAAGCATTCAATTATTGTTAACACCCACATTGGTTTCTTTGTTGCAGGTACAAAAATGATTAGTTTTGAACCTTCTGGCTCTTTCTTTACATTAGCTAGGTATGAAGGCAAGTTAGAAGTTGGGAGAAGGATGAGAGGCATTAATAATGCATAGAAGTCCCAAGTGCTATGTTTTAATGTACTAATGCTTCTACAAATATTAACCTTATTCTAAGAAAAATAAGTTTCAGATAATGAAAGAAACCTGGTCACAGAGTAAAATGACTGCTAATTGCATTTCAAGTAGTTTAGCCAAATTTTTGGTAATATTCTACATCATTTCCAAGTTATATTTATTTAGCCCCATCTGGCCAAGCATATAAATTAGTTTCTGCATTACTGTACATTCGTAACTTTCACCACTCCCATTTCTTACTTATTTCTCTCTTTTTGTCTCACGCTCTTCCACACACTCTTTCTCTTGTCCTCTGAATAGGGTCTACAGTATAAGCCATTTTTCAGCCCTAGCATATTCCTCTTGGCATCTCCATGCTCAACATTCAGTAGGGAGCATGGCTGTGGATTTCTTAAGGATGTTGGAATTCTGTGAGCAATCTGCCATCCTCCCCCAATTCTCTTCTCTCAAGTTCATTTGGCTTCAAGACTATGGTATGATGAGTTTTTTTCATTTTTAAGGTAAAAACTCCTGTGCAATATTTATGGACTGTTTATACTATACAGCCATCATCCCCTCCTTTTAATTTCTGTGCTAGAAAAATGCACTTTTTTATCCTTCTTTTAAGAATCTGGAGGTAAAAAAAGAAACCTGCCGAGGAGGAACCCTAAAGTCTCTAATATCTCAAGGGAAATACTCTGCAAACATCCTTAATGTTTAATAGATTTCAGCCTTTTCATTTCTCCTAAGTAATATGCCATACTCCACTGGGCCTCCTGAGTTTTCTTCTTTGTTGACCTTGCTAATTATATTATGGCTTTTGCCATCTACCTGTAGGAATTCATTAAACATTAAACAATGGCATTTGGTAGACATTTAGAAGGGATGGGGAAGTGGGGAGTTGATTCCCTTCTTATCCTTTCACAAGAGATGCATATGTAAATCCTGTCTCAGGCAGAACCTAATGAATTCAAGCCATTGGACCATTATTTTCATTTCCTTTTCAGTGTTGTGGGTAATATCCAACTACACACTTATTTTAAATTAAATACCTTGTTATCATTGGAGTGATTTCATAACTCTCAAACTACATATGCAGGCTTTAAACACCCTAGAGGGTAAGCTTTGATATACGTTCAAATATGAAAACAATTATCAATGATTTAAGGATTTCCAAAGCAACCAAAAATCAGGAAATGAGTAAACTTTGAAAAGAGTCTTAATACATTCCAGAATGTTAAAGTTTGAAAGTGCTGTTTGTCCCCATATTCTCAGTCTGAGTTTCTTTCTACTTTAACATATCCCTAAACACAACTAATAATAGTGATCAAATGAAATATTTCAAATGTATTGAAAATAATTTTATTTCAAAGAATACTATATAGCTATTTGTATTAATAGTTCTTCCTCAAGTACCGCTAAGAGTCAGGGGAGAATAGCTTTGTTTTTTATTCCTACTGAAATAGCAAGCAGACATAATCAACTTCATGATGATCACTCCAGAAGAATTTTTCTATGTGGTCTAGGTATGTTCTTTCATTTATATAAATCACTTTTTCATCTGCAGTCCGAGTCATTCCACCTTGGTAATGGGAAATAGCCTTTCCTATTGTTGGTTTTGTTTCTGCAAAAAGGCCTTCATGACAAATTATTTAAGACAACTTGTACTACACATCAAAGTAGGGGAAAATTATTTCTTTCATAGCACTAACGTTCTGGAGAAGGTCAAAGGGGTTGTTGGTAAAATATAAGGGAGAATGCTTTACTCTAAATTATTGTAGTTATTCAAATACAATATTCTGGGAAAGGATAAGGAGGATCAAACCTTTTCACAGTTCTTTACCAATAAATAACATATGATAATGGTGATGCTCTGACTACTGAAATACTAAATGAGCAGGGTAGAATTCAGCATTTTTTAAATTCTTAAATATCTTTTTTCCTCCTCAGACAAGTGTGAAACAATCACCAGTCAAAGAACACACAAAACAGAATCAGATCTTAGGCCAAAAGCTTACAAGGGAATATGATTAGAAATGCTATTAAAAATGTTGATCCTATGTTCTAAGTTTTGCTCTCACAAATCAATAGAAATAAAACTAAATACAACAACACTTATAATTTTACTTAAATGTATGCATGAATATTTTCAAGAAAAAAGAGAGAAGATAATCCGGTTTATTTGACTGTCTATTATATGCTAGGCGTTCTACAAGGCAGCTTAGGTACATGATTTTATTTAAATTCCACAGCAACCCACATAAGAAAAACAGTCTCAGAAAAGTCATTTAACCTACCTAAAGTCAGATGGAAAAATCAAGAAGAGAAATAGCATTTATTTCAAATATTCCTGAATTCAATGTCTCAATTGTTGAGTTATTCATATTGTTTTTTTTTTTTCAGGGTGAGGGGGTTGGCAGTAGGTAAAGGAACTCTTAGGAACTGCGTTTAGCATAGATTGTAGACAGAATGCCTCAATCAAACTCCTTGTCCTCCTCGCCTTCCTCCTCCTTTTCCTCATCATTATTTTCATCACCATTATTATAATCTATATTTATTGAGTGCATATAATTAAAGTGTTATGTTTTCGAAGTACTATTTTTCATGTTTCTTCTAAGATATCCTTTATTCTTCCAGTTATCATTATTGCTATCCTGCCATCAATTTATGAAAATGTCCTATTACTTTTCTTTTACATCCATTATACCTTATATATGATTCTATCACTATCTTGTAACTTATAACTCAGTTATTAAAGTCACGGTTTCAAAGTTCTTATTTGCGTTGATTTTATGTCCACAGAAAAATTTAATCAATGAAATACTATTAAAACTAGCCTAGTTGAACTCTGGAGTGCCCAGGGCTTTTTCAAGTGTTGGATACAAAGGTAAATAAACATGTTATCTATCTTCCAGGAATTTAATTCCCAATTAATAATAATACCTTACTTTAATATAGACCTTTATAGCTAATGAAACAAAATATTTCATAATGAGATAATTTGCAAAAATATATCAAACCTGTAGGTGTATGTTACTTGGGGGAGAAACCTAAAAACAAAATTTAATGAGATAGCCAGTTTTACATCTGAAACAACAACAAAAAAGTCTATGAATGAGGTTAGGTATTACAGTAAACAGAAAAAAATAAAATTTTCCCCCAGTCTTTTAGGAATATGTCTTTGTAATTTTTTATGAATCTGGCTGGAGAAACTGGGTTATAATTTAAGGGTTATTGGAGGAAGACTGCAAAAGAAGAAAACGAAAAAAATTCAGGAAGAATAAGGTTTGAAAAAAGTGATTGAAATAGAGAGAAGTGAAATTGGGAGGACAATTTTGATGATACTACGGTGACTATAGCTACATTTGAACCAGTTAATTTAATTTTTTCATAGACTTTGATGCCTAACTATTTCTCTCTCTCTCTCTCTTTCTCTCTCTCTCTCTCTCTCTCTCTCACACACACACACACACACACAACTTGGGATGAGAATAGTGATTTGCTGCTTCGGCTACACCTAATTATATTATCTTAGAGCTTTTTAAAATACGAATACAAAGACTCAACCACAGATATTTTGAACTTACTGTTCTGGGATGAGATTCAGATATTGGTATGTTTTTAAATTTCTTTAGGTAGTTCTAATGAGTAACTAGGGTTGAACACTACTCCTTTAGCATTTATTTCAAATGTCGATGTGCATCAGAATCACTGGAGGACTATTTAAAACCCAGAATTTCTGGCCCATTACATCTGTATTGGGGACCAATATTTGACATTTCCAAAAATTCCAAAGTGTTGCTGATGTGAATGGTCCAGGTATCACATTTTAAAGTGACTGGTTAAAAAACAATATCTGTAAATTACCTTGGGCAGTATAGCCATTTTCACGATATTGATTCTTCCTACCCATGAGCACGGAATGTTCTTCCATTTGTTTGTATCCTCTTTTATTTCATTGAGCAGTGGTTTGTAGTTCTCCTTGAAGAGGTCCTTCACGTCCCTTGTAAGGTGGATTCCTAGGTATTTTATTCTCTTTGAAGCAATTGTGAATGGGAGTTCACTCATGATTTGACTCTCTGTTTGTCTGTTATTGGTGTATAAGAATGCTTGTGATTTTTGTACATTGATTTTGTATCCTGAGACTTTGCTGAAGTTGCTTATCAGCTTAAGGAGATTTTGGGCTGAGACAATGGGGTTTTCTAGATATACAATCATGTCGTCTGCAAACAGGGACAATTTGACTTCCTCTTTTCCTAATTGAATACCCTTTATTTCCTTCTCCTGCCTAACTGCCCTGGCCAGAACTTCCAACACTATGTTGAATAGGAGTGGTGAGAGAGGGCATCCCTGTCTTGTGCCAGTTTTCAAAGGGAATGCTTCCAGTTTTTGCCCATTCAGTATGATATTGGCTGTGGGTTTGTCACAGATAGCTCTTATTATTTTGAGATACGTCCCATCAATACCTAATTTATTGAGAGTCTTTAGCATGAAGGGTTGTTGAATTTTGTCAAAGGCCTTTTCTGCGTCTATGGGGATAATCATGTGGTTTTTGTCTTTGGTTCTGTTTATATGCTGGATTACATTTATTGATTTGCATATATTGAACCAGCCTTGCATCCCAGGGATGAAGCCCACTTGATCATGGTGGATAAGCTTTTTGATGTGCTGCTGGATTCGTTTTGCCAGTATTTTATTGAGGATTTCTGCATCAATGTTCATCAAGGATATTGGTCTAAAATTCTCTTTTTTGGTTGTGTCTCTGCCCGGCTTTGGTATCAGGATGATGCTGGCCTCATAAAATGAGTTAGGGAGGATTCCCTCTTTTTCTATTGATTGGAATAGTTTGAGAAGGAATGGTACCAGTTCCTCCTTGTACCTCTGGTAGAATTCGGCTGTGAATCCATAGTTTCAATGCCATCCCCATCAAGCTACCAATGATTTTCTTCACAGAATTGGAAAAAACTACTTTAAAGTTCATATGGAACCAAAAAAGAGCCCGCATCACCAAGTCAATCCTAAGCCAAAAGAACAAAGCTGGAGGCATCATGCTACCTGACTTCAAACTGTACTACAAGGCTACAGTAACCAAAACAGCATGGTACTGGTACCAAAACAGAGATATAGATCAATGGAACAGAACAGAGCCCTCAGAAATAATGCCACGTATCTACAACTATCTGATCTTTGACAAACCTGAGAAAAACAAGCAATGGGGAAAGGATTCCCTATTTAATAAATGGTGCTGGGAAAACTGGCTAGACATATGTAGAAAGCTGAAACTGGATCCCTTCCTTACACCTTATACAAAAATCAATTCAAGATGGATTAAAGACTTAAACGTTAGACCTAAAACCATAAAAACCCTAGAAGAAAACCTAGGCATTACCATTCAGGACATAGGCACAGGTAAGGACTTCATCTCTAAAACACCAAAAGCAACGGCAACAAAAGACAAAATTGACAAATGGGATCTAATTAAAGTAAAGAGCTTCTGCACAGCAAAAGAAACTACCATCAGAGTGAACAGGCAACCCACAAAATGGGAGAAAATTTTCCCAACCTACTCATCTGACAAAGGGCTAATATCCAGAATCTACAATGAACTCAAACAAATTTACAAGAAAAAAAAAAACACCCCATCAAAAAGTGGGCGAAGGACATGAACAGACACTTCTCAAAAGAAGACATTTATTTATGCAGCCAAAAAACACATGAAAAAATGTTCACCATCACTGGCCATCACAGAAATGCAAATCAAAACCACAATGAGATACCATCTCACACCAGTTAGAATGGCAATCATTAAAAAATCAGGAAACAACAGGTACTGGAGAGGATGTGGAGAAATAGGAACACTTTTACACTGTTGGTGGGACTGTAAACTAGTTCAACCATTGTGGAAGTCAGTGTGGCGATTCCTCAGGGATCTAGAACTAGAAATACCATTTGACCCAGCAATCCCATTACTGGGTATATACCCAAAGGACTATAAATCATGCTGCTATAAAGACATATGCACACGTATGTTTATTGCGGCACTATTCACAATAGCAAAGACTTGGAACCAACCCAAATGTCCAACAATGATAGACTGGATTAAGAAAATGTGGCACATATACACCATGGAATACTATGCAGCCATAAAAAATGATGAGTTCATGTCCTTTGTAGGGACATGGATGAAATTGGAAATCATCATTCTCAGTAAACTATCGTAAGAACAAAAAACCAAACACCGCATATTCTCGCTCATAGGAGGGAATTGAACAATGAGAACACATGGACACAGGAAGGGGAACATCACACTCTGGGGACTGTTGTGGGGTGGGGGGAGGGGGGAGGGATACCATTGGGAGATATACCTAATACTAGATGACGAGTTAGTGGGTGCAGTGCACCAGCATGTCACATGTATACATATGTTACTAACCTGCACATTGTGCACATGTACCCTAAAACTTAAAGTATAATTTAAAAAAAAAAACAAAAAAAAAAAACAAGATCTGTCTTGGTGTATTAGTCAGGTTTCTCTAGAGGGATAGAACTAATAGGATAGATGTATATATAAAGGGGAGTTTATTAAGGAGTACTGACTCATGCAATCACAAGGTGAAGTCTTGAGAGGTGAGGCCAGCTGGACTTCCTGGGTTGAGTGGGGACTTGGGGAACTTTCCTGTCTTACAAGAGGATTGTAAAATGCACCAATCAGAAACTTTCATGTCTTACAAGAGGATTGTAAAATGCACCAATCAGCACTCTGTAAAACGTACCAATCAACACTCTGTAAAACGCACCAATCAGCAGGATTCTAAAAGTAGCCAATCGCGGGGAGGATTGAAAAAAGGGCACTGTGATAGGATGGAAATGGAACATGGGTGGGGACAATAAGGGAATAAAAGCTGGCCACCCCAGCCAGCAGTGGCAACCTGCTCACGTCCCCTTCCACGCTGTGGAAGCTTTGTCCTTTTGCTCTTCACAATAAACCTTGCTACCTCTCATTCTTTGGGTCCGTGCCATCTTTAAGAGCTGTAAGACTCACAGCGAAGGTCCACGGCTTCATTCTTGAAGTCAGTGATACCATGAACCCACTGGCAGGAACCCAATCTAGTCTTTCCACATTCTTCTGCCTGCTTTTGTTCTAACCTTCCTGGCAACTGATTAAATTGTGCCCATCCAGATTGAAGGTGGATATGCCTTTCCCAGTCCACTGACCCAAATGTTAATCTCTTTTGGCAACACCCTCGCAGACACACCCAGGAACAGTACTTCCCATCTTCAATCCAATCAAGTTGACAATATTAACCCCCACACTTGGCTAGCAGGAGTTATTTATTAATTAACTGTGTTCATTCAAAAATAATGGAGTGTCTACAATGTGTATGGTGTGGTGCTGAGTGGTAGATGAATAAGACAATGACTGTACAATCAAGGAGCACATGGTCTTGACATAAGGTCTGGTATCAATTTTATGTCAAAAAGTCACTAAAATTTCACTATTGGAGAACATAAGGATGGAAGATTTTGATTTCATAATGCCTTTGAGCTCTTTCAGGTCTACACTTACATGATTTCAGTATCAAGTTGGGCAATAGGATAGGAGATAAGAGAATCAAGCAAAGGCTTTAGACTGAGAAGTCCACACTACTTGGACTTCCTGGGAGATAATTTGGACTCTGGTGAATTTTATCAACAAAATCAATATATACATCACATGTTTGGGTGGATTTTGTTACAAAATTCCTCATTCCACTAACAACATTCATCTTTTTATAATCTAAGAGGTCAAGAAGTTCTGACTCATTTGTGATTCCACATAGTGTTGATACCCTCATGGTTTAGGAGTGAATTTCTTCTATATCTTCCTGAAGACACAGGTTTAGCACTGTCTTATTATTAACTATTCTGATTTAGCTGTAAAGCGTTAAAACAGATTCTATCATACCCAGAAAATCCACAGAGAAGTCTCTCATTCATAGTACATGGTCTACCTGTAAAATTTCTTCCTAAGTAGTCTGAGAGATTTATTTCTTCATTCTATAGAAGAAAAAGATGTGAGAGAAATATATTGTGGAATTTTGGGGTCTGTTTGTTTAGTTTGTTTTTTTTTAGATAAAGGCACACAAATATACTGTTAGATTATAGTACTCATCATCTGTGATAAGCATTACTGATTTGTGAAGATTTTTGGCTATAATTATCAGTAATAAAAGTAGTAAATTTATATACAGATTACATGCCAGCATCTTTTCAAGTCCTATGACACTACAAGAAGATTCATGATGTGAACTTGTTTGTCTTCTTCTGTGGATATTTACTGCCAGAAAGCAGCAATCTTGAACACCCTAAAATGGCAATCACAACCTCCAAAAATATTTACTTTTTTTTCAAAAACAGATTACTCCTAAAAGGGTGCATAATTTAGTTACAGAATTTTTTTTAAAAAAACAACCAAACAAAATCTGATCCTGAGAAGGTAAGAAACTGAGAATGTCTACATATGCAAAGTGAATGAAGAATTTAATCAATCACTTTGTTGTTTTATCCCTCAAGCATTGGTATTAATGAAAAATGTGGAGTCTTCTGAGAACGGAGCTAGCTGATTCTGTTGCTTCATCAGTCTGATAAACAATTGGTTGTGTATTTAACTGTCTTCCTTGAATTTAATTCAGAGTGGCAGGTAAATTTCTCCCTTGTAAAGTAGCCAGCTAGGGAAATCATTTTGGAAGGAGAAGTAACTGAAAACATCTTGGAGAAGCAAAGAAAAATAAATCTTGAGATCACATAGGAGGCTTTGAAACATGGGTAAATTCTTGGTTGAAGAACATTTAAAATGCTACTCAAGGACTCTGCAAATAAGATCACTTGGATTTGTACATGAAGTTTACTGACTGCCAAGACATTGTCTCCACCTTCTACAAAATAGCCTGCTCCACTTAAGAAACAAAACCTTGGCCGGGTGCGGTGGCTCACGCCTGTAATCCCAGCACTTTGGGAGGCTGAGGTGGGTGGATCACAAGGTCAGGAGATGAAGACCATCCTGGCTAACACGGTGAAACCCTGTCTCTACTAAAAATACAAAAAATTAGCCATGGTGGCACACGCCTGTAATCCCAGCCTACTCAGGAGGCTGAGGCAGGAGAATCGCTTGAACCTGGGAGGTGGAAGTTGCAGTGAGCTGAGATGGTGCCATTGCACTCCAGCCTGGGCAACAGAGCAAGACTCCATCTCAAAAAACAAACAACAACAACAACAAAAGAAACAAAAACTTGAGTGTCCTCATTTTACACTTTGTCCAAGAGGAGGTTATCTGCTTTCTACACATGTGAAATAAGTATGTGCAGTTGTTTTCCTTTTTGTTTTGTTTTTGTTTTTTGCTTGTTTTCTCATCAGAGACTCATTTGAAAACATTCAGAATTAATTCTCTAAGGAAATCAGAAAACCACTGTCTGGAATAACTCCAGTCCCTGAAATTTGTGGTTGTTCTTTGCCATAATAAGTGGACAGACTGTAATATTAAAATATGCGTGTTAGTTCCAACAAATTGTAGAAATTGAAAGGTACATGTATTACAGATTTACACTCAAGAAAGGGGCCCAGAATCGTATTGGTTTCCATTTCTTTTTGATGTGGTACTAGCAATCATACCACACCAGATTATAAAACTCAACTTTAAAGAATTGTCCAATTGAGACTTTTTGTCACCCAAATAGTTCAGTGTCTACTCAAGTTAAAGGTTTTAAGTATTGCCAGTTTACATCTTTATTGATAAAGAACTTAAGTATAGTCTCAGGTAAGAGGCTAATCTTTCTAAAAGATACACCTATTTTTCCTAAAGTATAAATTCAGCAGTTTTCTGGACATACTCTTTACATTGTATTTTGGTTTCCTTTACAAAAAATTGTTAATCTGTGTTTCTCAGGACAGCACATTACTGAGAAAGAGGCAAAATTTAAGCAAATAGATTAGTACTGTTATTAGTACCATATGGAGGAACGTGTTAAGAACATAATGGGATTGTTTCTAGACTGTATTCATCTTGCTGCTGTGTTTTACTCAGCTTTTGACTCTGTACAGCAACCAATGATGGAACAAATGATATAAGCTCAAAATGTGCTCCTGGGTAAAGATACTTCCACAGAGTATAAACCTCACTAAAACTGTAAGAGCCAGTCACTATTGATGAGCAAATTGAGTATTTACATCGTTTGAGACACTGGTTTATAAAATGTTTATGGCTTATCTTGTCGCCTTCTTAAGAATATTGGTTATGTTAGGTACAGAAAATCATATTTGTCAGATCAAGATTCAGGACCAACTGCTATGCTGACAGAAAGATATTACTTATAATCCAAACTGATGATAGTTATACTGTCTTAACTTAAAAATACTGGTGGTAATTTAATATGACTAAATATGACTTAGAATCTGTGGTTCAGACCAACTCTTTGAAAACAGAAATCATCCCTTGGGCAGTTGTATTTCACTATTTATATAACTTAGCTCCAAAAATTCTACATAATGTATTAACTAATTCAGTTACATATAATCAACATTTCCTAGATAATTCGCCAGGCATTTACATTGCAAAATAATTGCATGATTCCTGTATGTAATATTAAGACATTTCTCTAGTCAGGACATTTTCATGCAGCCTCCTTGATATGATTTTCATATACAAATAGTTTTATGAATACTAAAAGCAAGTCATGTCATTTTTGCTATTGTCAAATAGAAAGAAAAAAAAAATGCTATCTTACCAAAAGCCAAAAACTAAGGTTCCTCAGAAATACAGTTGTGAACAAAGTCTTTTTCTCTATGAAATTTACCTTTTCCTAGGAAAAAACACCTATACTAAAAATTACATAATGATTTAATTTTCACTGTCATGAAGGCTATAAAGGGAAAATGCAGATTTCTAATAGAAATACCCGATTTCTCTTGGGGGTCAAGGAAAGGCTTATTGAAAAAGTGATGTCCATGCTGTGCTCAAAACAATGAAATGTAGTAAACTATGTCAAAGATTGGTGAGATCATTCCAAATACAGAACATAATGTGTGAGAAATCTGAGGCACTAGGAATAAAGGATCATTCAGGACATTGAAAAAAAATTGAGGCAAGGAAAAAATAGGAAACACAAATGAGTCTCCCTAGAGAAGCAGAACCCAGATGATGTAGGGATATAGTTCTATACTGAGGATTTTGGTCTATATTCTAAAAGCAATGGGAAACCATTGACCACTTTAAGTAGAGAAGTAACACGATTGAAGCTGTGCTTTGGGAGAAAGGTAGAGCATATGAATTTGGAAAACAAATTGGGAGAAATTCTAAGTAATTATGGTAAGAGCCTAAGAGAGTCTGGATTGAGTGTTGACAAAGGATTCTGGGAAAAGTAGGCATATTTGAGCATCAACCATCTACAGAAATTGAGTATTGGTGTATATGAAAGAAGGATTCTTGAATGATTGCAAGGCTTCCTTCATGAGCTGTTAGATGAATGACTGGACTGTGTTACTCACTAATATTGTTGCAGAAGCAGAATCTGTGGTGGGGTTGAGAGACTGGTAGAAGAGATTATGAACTCAGTTTTGTGCATGAGTTTGGAATTACCTTAAAATATCTAACTGAAGTTGTGAAGCAGACATTTGGGTGTGTGAAACTGAAACTAAGAAAGGAGATTTAGACTGGAGCTGTCTTAATATCTACTACTTAGAGAGCACTCACCAAGTGCTGGGCATTTTTCTGAAGCTTAACTTATACTAATTAATCCTAATAAAAACCTATTATTACATAGGTAAGGATTCTTTCATTACAAAATACTACTCATGTGCTTTCCAGCATGCCTATTGTTACCATATTTACAAGGAATTTGATCATATTACCTTTCTTTTTTTTTCCCCTGGGATGTTCCCCAGTA
Source organism: Homo sapiens (assembly GCF_000001405.40). NCBI lineage: Eukaryota > Metazoa > Chordata > Mammalia > Primates > Hominidae > Homo > Homo sapiens. The sequence goes on from NW_017363818.1 coordinate 196,195, forward strand.
AAGGGAAAGAATAAATTGCAGACCTGCTGTTGACCTTTTTCTTCTTATCCACTTACTGATGATGTGATGATAAGCGAGTTACTCAAGCTCTCCAAACCTCAGTCTCCTCTTCACCAAACTAGGTGTAATAATAATTATTTTAGGAGACATACCTAATATTCCTAGAATGGCTTATAATAAACCTAAAATCTGTTGATCTATAAGATGTTCTCTATGGAGAACATCACATAAACTCTATTACTATCATAGTATGAAATCAGAAGTTTGTGATTCATTTTTTGGTAAGTATGCACAAGTACGTAAGTGAAATTTTATGTATATTATATATGGGTTTATGTATGTCCCATATGTCCTAATGTAAGGCAGAAAGGATGTGGGAAGCTGCAATGGCAGTTTGAATTTTTCTCTGTTTTTCTTGTGCATTGGGAATACTTGTGTCCTTGAGGCTAGAACATAGGACTTTTTTTAAAAAACCTTAATAATTGGAAATTAGAGCGGATGATGTGGCAAGGAAATCTGAAAAGAAACTATCAGAGAAATATAAGAAAAAACAGGAGAATGTGATGTCACAGAACCCAAAAAACATATTAAGTTTATATTTTTAATAATTCCTGAACCTCATTCCATTGCTGAACCTCACTCCTGACCCTGAAGTTGTCCTGAAGGTAAGGTTGGGCTACATAGATGGCTAGAGAGAGGGAATAGTGTCGGTTAGAGATAAGGATTAGACTGAGTCTCAGACATATTGGTAGGGGTCAGGAAGGACATGTGCTCAGAGATGGGGTGAAGGAGGATGTAGTAGTTTGGCACCATCAGTGTCAAATAATGTATAAACCAAAGACATGTGCACCACACCAGCTTAGTTCAGAAATGAATTTCAATCATATAAAGCACAATGTTTGCTAATTTCCTAACAATTACTTGCTATTCTGAGTGATTTTCCCTCTCATACTCACTAATTACTCTTTAAACATTATGATGGTCATACTTATTTACTTTCCAATAATAATTTTAGAATACTAATGGAATTTATTTTGCTTTCCACTTAAAAATCTACAGGACAAATTAATCTGCTTATGTAAACTTCTTAACTGTGGTAATTTTGTTTGATTGAATCTATATTAGGCACTGGACTAAAAAGGTGAAGGGAAAATTTGTGTCCATAAAAAATATTTCTTTTTTCTTTTTTTTTTTTTGAGATGGAGTTTCACTCTGTGGCCCAGGCTGCAGTACAGTGGGTGATCTCAGCCCATTGCAACCTTCGCCTCCTGGGTTCAAGCGATTCTCCTGCCTTAGCCTCCCTAGTAGCTGGGATTACAGCCACATGCCACCACGTCCAGCTAATTTTTGTATTTTTGGTAGAGATGGGGTTTCGTCATGTTGGCCAGGCTAGTCTTGAACTCCTGACCTCAGGTGATCCGCCCATCTCTGCCTCCCAAAGTGTTGGGATTACAGGCGTGAGCCACCACATCCAGCCCATAAAAAGATTTCTTATATTCAGCTGTCAACTGTATAGTTAATCTTCAATTAAATATTTTCCTTAGCTGTTTCAGAAAAATACAATGCCATAAGTGAACCTTTAAATGATGGTTTTAAGATAACTGAGATAACATAACCTAAATAAAACTAGACAACATATTTTTCTGGGGTATAAAACTAATACAGACTAAAAAATTTCAAAATTACATGGAAATTAATAAAGTAGAAGGTGGCTATTGTAATGGGGGAGGATCAGGAATATGGTCTGTGCACATTACATTGTAATTAAAACAAAAGTCATTTTTATGCAATTATGTCAAGCCTTATATTATCTTTTTTATTAAAATGATTATATCAAAATTGCTATGTCAAAATGGCCACTTTGATAAAATTTTATAGCAAACTCCTAGAGAAAGCAATAGTATTTATTAAAGTAGCTTCCATGGCACCCTAGTTCTTTTGGTATGCTCTGAGAAATAAGTATTGTGTTCAACTCATTTTGAGAAATGCTACACACTTCCACCTTCTCACAGATTCACAATGCACATTCACATTTAAAAGGTCCTGAAAAATATTTTTAAAGCCTTCTAAAATTAATCTACCCCAATATTTCCAAAGTTAATTGGATCACAAGACTCTGGATGTATGGGTTTGTAATGGTATTTGCTAATATTTATTTAGCACGTATTTTATCCATACCATTATATGAAGGGCTATATGTGCATATTTCAAATAAGTCTTAACCAATGTAGGCTGATGTTACTATTATTATTGTCACTTTTCACATAGAGAAAGTAAAACATAAAATAATTAACTAGTTGCCAAGGTAATCTATTAACATATTAATTTAGCCAACAAGCATCTGAGACTGATTCCAACTAAGTTCTGGCTGAATCCTCAGGGTGATTTCTCAATCACTACACTGTACTGATTCCTAATATTCCACAACACTTTTTGCTACTTCTGATACAGCTTTTGAGGGACTCAGCAATACATTTCTAAAAAATATCACGAAGTTGCCTTTTATGTCTTTCTTCACTCACATCTATTGAGATGGAGTTGCTAGAGTTTTGTTTTGGTTTATTTCTCAAAGCACAGCTACTTCTGTAATTGACCCTATAGTCATTGTACACTCTTGGTCCTTGCCAGAACATATAATTTAAAATTCTCCACTGCAGCTGCCCAACCCTCACCTAAAGCCCAGTTACAAACAGTTCAGGAGAATTACCTAAAGGATGTGAAATCCATTCAGTCTTCTCAGTGTTCTACAAACTGGTACACTGAATTAACTCTTGTGATCTTAGAGAGTGATCTCTTTCGATTGATTGCTCTGCATTGTATTTTAATGTAACTTATAAGTTACATTAAATATGTAACTTATACATTAAATGAAAATAAGTACAATCTCAGTTTGCATTGAGGAATGTTATTAAAGGAGCTGTACAAAACTTACCCTTGGAATTAGCTGACATTCCTCATTTCACACAATGATTCATAGTAATTGTCACTATGATTTGCACAGTGCCTGAGAAGCCTCTTCAGAAAAAGAAAGGAGATAAATTTGATCGTAGTTGGGGTTCAATAATAAGAAACCAAATCTGGTGAAATTATGGTGTGGGTTTAGGTAGGCAACAGAAACCAGGCTGCAGAGGGATGGCAGTACCCCTGAAGAGTCACAAAGATAAAAGGAGTGAGTCAGAACCTCAGTGCTCCAGGGCATTTATGTGACACCTGTTGACTGACTGTCCCATAATCTTAGCTACTTTGATAGCAGGACATTGACTGAAATATCACTGAGACAGTTGCCATTAGGCTCATGCATGCAGCTCATCTTGGTATAGCACATGATCAAGGCCTGACTTTGCTAGTGTCAAATCTGAGCAACCACTAGAACAGCTTTCCAAATGAAAAGATGAATGATTATAAATATTTGAGGAAAAAAGACATTTTTTCAGGACCCAAAATTCCAATAGAAGCAGAAGGAGACCTAGAGCTACCAAGATTCATTAATATAAATTGATTGTACTATATTCCTGGTTTGGCGAATGCTGAGCCACATAAATTGAATAGGAATTTATTTGCCTGTTGTTAACTTCAGCACAGTGTTTTCTTAAAGAAACTTCATGGGAGAAACTTTCTCTTAAGTTTTAATTCCAGGGCAAGTCCTGTTTCTCCAAAGATGCCCAAACTTTTCCTTTTTTTTTTTTTTTTTTTTTTTTTAAGTCTTTGTGTGTTGTTTTTTTGAAATCCCCAAAATTAGTCAACTTGACTTTTTGGTGTGTATATCTCTGTAAATTTTAGCACATGTATAGATTTGCGTATCCACCACCACAATAAAGATACATAATATTTATATCACTCCCAAACACATGCTCATGCTAGTATTTCTTAATCACACCACTTTTTCACCCGATCCCTTGACAAGTACTAATGCTCTCTATTACTACATTTTGTCTTCTTAACAAAGTCATTTAAAGTGAATCATACAGTATGTGACACTGAGACTGGTTTCTTCTACACAACAAAATGAGATTCATCCCAGTTATTGCATTTTTATTACCAAGTAAAATTCCTTTTCATGGACATACCACAGTGTGTTTATACAGTCACCCGTTGGAGGTCATTACGGTGGTCTCCAGTTTCTGCAATTTTTAATAGAGCTGCTATAAATATTCATGTACATGTTTCTGTGTGAGCATAAGGGTTTTTTTTTTCTAGAATAAATACCTAGGAATGGGATTGCTAGGTCATATATAGGTGCATATTATAACTTTAAGAGAAACATGACAAAATCATTCTCCAAAATATCTGAATCATTTTACATTCTCACTAACACTTCATGCTTTTTCAGTAGTTCTACATCTTTGCCAACCTTTGTGTTGTTTTATCTTTTTTTTTTTTTTTGGCCATTCTTATAAGTCTGTCATTGTACCTCATTGTGATTTTAATTTACTTCTCCCTGATGGTTAACAATGTTGAACATTTTTTCTTGTGCTTATTTGCCATTCATATACCTTCTTTAATTAAAATATTTTACCTACTTTTTAAAAATTTGTTTTATTTCTGTTGAGTTTTGAGTTCTTTATGCATGCTTGATACAAGTCATTTGGCAGATATATGATTTGCAGAAATTTTTTCCCAGTCCAATTTATCATCTTTTTTTTTTTTTTACTTTTCTGAGTCATTCTTATGGTGTCATGTCGAAGAACTCTTTGACCCAAGATCATGAAGTTTTTTTAAATAAGTTTGTCTGAAAGTGTAAGGCTAACTCTATGAGGATGAGTTCATTTAGGTGATTTCTCTGACTATATATTTGATAGACACAACTAAATGAAAAGTAGCACCTTTTAATATTGTCAGGTTAATGTATTCTGGTTTGTGTCTTTGGTTTTGAACATGTTTAAACCATTAAAAACACATTTTAAATAGGCTAGTCAATTTTCTTCTTGCAGAAGAGACTGGAAATTAATTTATTCACTTTTGTGTAGGCATTATTTTATACATACTATAGAGTTGCACCCATGCATTTAATAAAATGTGAATCTCAACTATGTGACAGGCATTGTTCTAGCTACTAGAGGACATCAGTGATTAAAAGCACAACAAAATCCTTCCCTTCCACCAATGTATATTTCAGTTAAATATGTATATCAGGTTGAGCATCTTTAATTCAAGAATTTGAAACCTGGTAAGCTTCAAAATTTGAAACATTTTGAGCCCTACCATCATGTCATAAGTGAAAAATTCCACAAATAAGTACTTAACACAACTTTTACTCATGCACAAAATTATTAAAAATATAGTTTAAAGTTACATCCAGGTTATATGTGTAAGGTATATATGAAATACAAATAAATTTTGCATTTAGACTTGGATCCTATCCCCAATATATCTTATTATGTATATACAAATATTCCTAAATCTGAAAAAAAATCCAACCTCCAAAATACTCTGGTTCCAAGTATTTTGGATAAGAGATACTCAACGTGTGTGTGTGTGTGTGTGTGTGTGTGTGTGTGTGTGTGTGTAATTTACACTGATTCAAAGAGAGAGAGGAAATTAAAATTTAATTCTATCTGCTATTGGACTCAATGAACCTATGTCCACAAATCCTCTTCAGATGGGATCAGTGAGTCAGATATTTCTCCCATAAGTCTCAGTTTCCATACAAATTTGCTGAAGGAAGCAATTTTCTTAGGTAACATGAGCCCAAGATTTAAAACTATATTTCTCATGGAATACGGTTTTCTAATGGTAAACAAAGGCTTTCTTTGTTGGACAACATTTTCATGAATTCTCGATGACAAATTATGATTATATGCAACTCTGTAAATACTAATTTAGAACTATATACAATAAAATATAACTATTTTAATAATAATAAAAATACACATTACTAAAATATGCTATTTATTGACTATTTTAATATAAATACCACTTTATTGGTATTAATATTATCAAAGTAATTAAAGATGTCCATCTTCATTTCAGAAAAATGGCTGTGGCTGTTTATCATGCTTATTACAGAATAGAATACAAACTAGAATGCATTCAAGTTAGAGGGGGCAAGATGGCTGACTAGATGCAGCCAGGAAATGCCGCTCACACAGACAGAGACCAAAATACTAAGAAAACCAACACACTTTGAGCATATCTTTGCAGATGAAACACCAAGAGTCTATAGAGAAGTGACATAGACATGAAGGCTGAAGAGAGAGAAAGGTGGGAGCCCTGTGAGTGGTACTCAAATGCTAGGGATAGTTTCCAGTCCTGAACAGCTCCTGGGTAACGGGTGAGGGAAGGGACAGAGGGACAACCCGCTCTTGCTGCAGACCTCTGGGGTCCTAGCTACAGAGGATCCCATATCTCCCATGAACATTTGAACTGGCAGGAGAATCCACCTGGAAAGTAGGCAGAGACAGGGCTTCAGCTGATGTGGAGCCCAGGGACTTTTGTGTGCAGGGCATCTGCAGCAGAGCATGGCCATAGGTGCCCATCCCCAAGGGTTCCCCATCTCCCTTTAAGTAGCTCTAGCCTCAGCTGACCAATGGTCCAGGACAAACTGGGGCCAGCTTCCTCACTAGACTGGGGCACCTATGTTCTGCAGGTACTTCTGTCCTTCAGCCCCTCCCACAACCCCAGCCTGGCCACCCTGCAGGAACATGTACACCGCACAGTCTGGACACTTTGCTCCACCTAAGTACCTTCCTAGCATGCTGGGAGCACTTCAGATCCTCCAGCACAGATGGAGCCCAATCCCAAAGATCCAGCAGTAAAAGCCACAGGCTGGTCCCAATGCCCTAGGGCTATGTTCTGCAAATTGAGAGTGCCAAGCCAAGCTCTGCGGCCAACACTTCAGAAAGGGAGGGTGCCTCTACTTTCAGAACACTGAGAGGGGTGAGATGCATGGGTTTGTGGGTTGGCATGCAAGCAGTGTGTAGCTTCCTCCACAATGCTGGTCTATGAAGGGTGTGGCCTATCTCCCTGCCATGGCCTCTGCCTGAGGGAGTCCCATAGCCCAGAACAGCTAACAAAGCAAACATGGGAATAATGCCATTGATTAGAGGGGGCTCCTTCAAGGCCAGGAGTGGACCTTGTGCAAGGGTCATCTCTCTCCCCACCACCACAGAGCATGACTGCAAACATGAGGAAATATGAAAGAGCCATGTGGCTGATTAAGAGCCTATCTGCCAGCCATTACTTTTAGGTGCCACCCACTGGATCACAGCCCAAACAACACTATCAAAAATATTCTTCCAGTATACAACCCTGTGAAACCAATGGCAAGAATCCAGACACCAATTAACAGCCTGTTCAGAAACTTGACCCTTTGAAAGCACTCAAAATGAAGTCAATTGACTATACTCAACTTACATTACAATAAAAGGAACACCAACCCTCTTAGATGAAAAAGAATCAGCATAAGAACTCTGGCAATTAAAAACACCAGTCTCCCCTTACATCCAAATGAGCCCACTGGCTCCCCAGCAATGATTCTTAAGCAGACTAAAATGACTAAGTGACAGACATAGAATTCAGAATCTGGATGGAAAGGAAGCTCATCAAGATTCAAGAGAAAGTTGAAGTCCAATCAAAGAAATCCAAGTAATCCAGTAAAAGGATTCAAGATCTGAAAAATGAAATAGCCATTTTAAGAAAGAACTAAACTGATCTTCTGAAACTGAAACATTTACAAGAACATCATAATACCACCAGAAGTATTAACAGCAGAATAAACTAAGCTGAAGACAGAATCTCAGAGCTTGATAACCAGTTCTACAAATCAACTGAAAAGTAAAGAAAAAAGAATGCGGGAAAATCCTGCTACATACTATACAAGATGTTTGTCTCCAAGCCACATGGTTATTGATTCACCAAGGTCAATGTGAAAGAAAAAATCTTAAAGGCAGTTAGCAAGAAGGCTCAGGTCACATACAAAGGGAACCCCATCTGGCTGGCAGCGGACCTTTCAAAAGAAACTTTAAAAGCCGGAAGAGATTGGGAACCTATTTTCAATATCCTTAAAGAAAAGACATTCAAACCAAAAATTTCATATCCTGCAAAACTAAGCATCATATGCAATGGAGAAATTAAACCCTTTTTTGACAATCATACACTAAGGGAATCTGTTACAACTAAAACTAGCCTTACAAGGGAGTGCTAAACATGGAAATGAAATAATGACACCTGCTTCCACAAAAACTAAAGCACAGTGCACAGACAGTATAAAGCAACTACACAATCAAGTCTACAAAATAACCAGCTAACAACATGATGACAGGATCCAAATCTCACGTATTAATAGTAACTTTGAATGTAAATGGTCTAAATACCCCACTTAAAAGACATAGAGTAGCAAGCTGGAATAAAAACACTGTCCAACTGTCTGCTGCCTTCAAGAGACCCATCTCACATTTAATGACACCCACAGGTCAAAAGAAAAGAAATGGAGAAAGATCTAGCATGCAAACAGAAAACAAAAAATGAGTATGAGTCATTATTCTTACAGTAGACAAAAGGAACTTCAAATCAACAGTAAAGAAGAAGGACAAAGAGAGGCATGACACAATGATAAGGGAAAAATTCAATGAAAAGATTAAATATCAAAATATATATACACCTGATATGGTTTGGTTTTGTGTCCCTACCCAAATCTTACCTGAAATTGTAATCCCATAATCCCCACATGTCATGGGAGGAACCTGGCAGAGATCATTGAATCATGGAGCAGTTTCCCCCTTGCTGATCTCATGATAGCGAGTGAGCTCTCAAGAGGTCTCATGGTTTTATAAGGGGTTTCCCCCTTTGCTCAGCATGCATTCTCTCTCCTGCCACTGTGTGGAGAGGTGCCTACTCACATGATTGTAAGTTTCCTGAGTCCTCCCCATATATGCAGAATTATGAGTCAACTGAACCTCTTTTCTTTATAAATTACCCAGCCTCTGGTATTTCTTCATAGCAGCGAGAGAACAGACTAATACAGTAAATTCGTACCAGGTGTGGGGTGCTGTTATAAAGATACCCAAAAATGTGGACGTGACTTTGGAACTGGGTAACAGGCAGAGGTTGGAATAGTTTGGAAGACTCGGAAGAAGACAGGAAAATGTGGGAATGTTTTGAACTTCCTAGAGACTTGGAGGGCTCCGAAGACAGGCAGATGTCAGAAAGTTTGGAACTTCCTAAAGACTTGTTGAATTGCTTTGACCAAAATACTGATAGTGATATGGAAAATCAAGACCAGGCTGAAGTGGTCTCAGATGGAGATGACGAACTTTTTGGGAACTGGAATAAAGGTGACCCTTGCTATTCTTTAGCAAAGAGATTGGCAGCATTCTGCCTCTGCCCTAGAGATCTGTGGAACTTTGAACTTCAGAGAGAGAGAGAGTCAGAAATTAAAACTTATGTTTACAAGGAAAGCAGAGCGTAAAGGTTTGGAAAATTTGCAGGCTGACCATGTGGTAGAAAAGAAAAAACAATTTCCTGGGGAGAAATTCAAGCCAGTTGCAGAAATTTGCATAAGTAATGAGGACCCAAATGTTAATCACCAAGACAATGGGGAAAATGTCTTCAGGGCTTGTCAGAGACCTTCATGGTAGCCCCTCCCATCACAGACCTGGAGGCCTAGGAGGGAAAAATGATTTCAGGGGCCAGGTCCAGGGACCCTCTGCTATGTGCAGCCTGGGACTTGGTGTCCTGTGTCCCAGCCACTCCAGCTGTGGCTAAAAGGGGTGAAGGTACAGCTCAGGCCATTGCTTCAGAAGGTGCAAGCCTCAAGTCTTGGTAGCTCCCATGTGGTGTTGGGCCTGTGGGTGCAAAGAAGGCAAGAATTGAGGCTTGGGAGCTTCTACCTAGATTTCAGAGGATATATGGAAATGTCTGGATTTCCAGGCAGAAGACTTCTGTAGTGGGGAGAACCCTCATGGAGAACCTCTACTAGGGTATTATGGAGGGGAAATGTGAGGCTGGAGCCACCACAGAGTCCCCACTGTGGCACTGCCTAGTGGAGCTGTGAGAAGAGGGCCACCATCTTCCAGAGCCTAGAATGGTAGATCTACCAACAGCTTGCACTGTCCATCTGGAAAAGCTGCAGTTACTCAACACCAACCTGTGAGAGCAGCCACAGGGACTGTATACTGCAAAGCCACAGGGACAGAGCTGTCCAAGACCATGGGGGCCATACCTTGCATCACTGTGCCCTGGATGTGAGACATGGGGTCAAAGATTATTTGGGAGCTTTACTTTCTGCTGAATTTCAGACTTTCATGGGGCCTATAGTCCCTTTGTTTTGGCCAAATTCTTCCTTTTGCAAAAGGGCAATTTACCCAATGCCAGTACCCCCACTGTATCTTGGAAGTAACTAACTTGTTTTTGATTTTACAGACTGATAGGCGAAAGGGACTTGCATCATCTTAGATTAGACTTTGGACTTGGACTTTTGAGTTAATGCTGGAATTAGTTAAGATTTTGGGGGACTGCTGGGAAGGCATGATTGATTTTGGAATGTAGGAAGGACATGAGAATATTTAGGGGCCAGAGGCAGAATGATAGGGTTTCGATCTGTGTCCCTACCCAAATCTCATGTTGAACTGTAATCCCCAGTGTTGGGGGAGGGCCCTAATGAGAGGTGACTGGATCAGGGGGGTGGATTTCCCCATTGCTATCCTCATTATAGTGAGTGAGTTCTCATGAGATCTCTTTGTTTAAAAGTGTGTAGCACTTTCCCCTTCACTCTCTCTTTTGCCTTTCATGTGACGACCATGCCTCCTTCTTTCCCCTTTTCCTTCTACCATTATTATAAGTTTCCTGAGGCCTCCCCAGCCATGCCTCCTGTATAGCCTGCAGAACTTTGAGTCAATTAAACCTTTTTTATAATAAATTACCCAGTTTCAGGTATTTCTTTATAGCAGTATGAGAATGGACAAATATTAAGTTGGTGCAAAAGTAGTTAAAAGTAATGGCAAAAACCACAATTACTTTTGCACCAACAAAATACAATGATCAAGTTGAGAGTCAAATAAAGAACACAATCTCATTTACAATAGCCACAAAAAAAAAAAAAACCCAGGAACCTAGGAACACAGCTAAACAAGGAGGTTAAAGATCTCTACAAGGAGAACTACAAAACTCTGCTGAATTAAATCAGAGACAACACACATAAATGAGAAAACATTCCATGCTCATGAATTTGAAGAATCAGTGTCATTAAAATGGCCATATTTCTTAAGTAATGTACAGATTCAACACTATGCCTATCAAACTAACAACATCATATTTCACAGAATTAGAAAAAAACTATTTTAAAATTCATGTGGAACCCAAAAAGATCCTGAACAACTAAAGCAACCCTAAGCAAAAAGAACAAAGCTGGAGGCATCACACTACCCAACTTCAAACTCTGTTATAATGCTACAGTAACCAAAACAGCATGGAACTAGTACAAAAACAGATCTATACACCAGGGTAAGAGAGCAGAGAACCCAGGAATAAAGTCACACACCTACAATCGTCTGATCTTTGACAAAACAGACAGAAACAAGTAATGGGGAAAGGACTCCCTATTCAATAAATGCTGCTGAAATAACTAGCTAGCCATATGCAAAATAAAACTGGACTCCTACCTTTTACCATATAAAAAACTTAAATGGATTAAAGATTTAAATATAATACTTTAAGCTATAGATATAAGAAGATCTAGGACACACCATAGTGTACATAGTCTTTGTGAGGTAATTTATGACTAAGTACCCAAAAGCAATTGCAACTAAAATGAAAATTGACAAGTGGGACCTAATTAAACTAAAGAGTTTCTGCACAGCAAAAGAAACTATTAACAAATTAAATAGAAAACCTACTGAATAGGAGAAAATATTCACAAACTATGCATCCAATAAAGGTCTAATATATTAAATATTTAAGAAACTTAAAGAATTCAACAAGCAAAAATGAATAACCTCATTAAAATGTGGGCAAAAAAGAAGACATACAAGCAACCAACAAAAATATGAAAAAATGCTCAACATCACTAATTATCAGAGAAATGCAAATCAAATCCGCAATGAGATAACATTTCACAGCAGTCAGAATGGTGATTATTAAAAATTCAAGAAGCCATAGAAAGTGTTGAGGCTGTGGAGGAGGGGGAACAATTATATACTGTTGATGGGAATGCAAACTGGTTCAGCCACATTGGAAATATATTTGGAGATTTCTTAAATAACTTAAAACAGAGCTACCAGCAGTCCCATTATTGGCTTTACATCCAAAGGAAAATAAATCATTTTATCAAAAATACGCATGCACTCATATGTTCATTTTAGCAGTATTCCCAATAGCAAAGACATTAAATCAACCTAGGTGCTCATCACTGGTAGACTGAGTAAAAAAAATATGCACTAGGGAATACTATGCAGTCATAATAAAAGAATGAAATCATGTCCTCTGCAGGAAATGGGTGCAACTGGAGGCCATTATCTTAAGCAAATTTATGCAAGAACTGAAATCCAAACACCACATGTTCTCACTTAAAAGCGGGAGCTCAACCTTGAGTACACATGGACATAGAGATGAAAACAATAGACACTGTGGATTACTAGAGGGGAGAGGGAGGGGCCATGGGTTGACAAACTACCTTTTGAATACTATGCTTACTACCTGGGTGACAGAATCCATATCCCAAATCTCAGCATTGATCAATACACCCATGTACCAAATCTACACATGTACTCCCATGCCTAAAATAAAAGCTGAAATTATAAGAAAAAAATACAACTTAAAACAGAAGGAACAAAATCCAAATTGTAAAAAGAAAACATTCAAGGCAGAAATTAAAAAATAACTGTGAGAAAAATCAGAAAATATTTATGTAACAGAATATATTTTACAATTGTGAAATACTCTTAAAATCAATTTGTGCTTCCTAGTTCTTCAATCAAATAGGAAACCTATTAGTTAAAAGATACAATGCCTAAGATCAGTGTAATATTTTGGAGTGGAGTGCAAGCAAATCTAGGACACATTTATCCCAGCTGTTTGCATAAAGAAGTTCTAAGAGCAATGGCAGAAAATATGCAATTATGTTAATTCAAGATTCTAGCTATTAGGAAGATGTAACACTCCAGACTATGGTAACAAAGAGTTTTGCCCTGTGGAAACCTTAGGCTGCTTATTTTTTGTAATTGGAGTAGAGCATTGACATCTAAGTTTTAGTTCATTAGAAATATTTCTGCTAGTACATAAGTTTCAAAGTGCTAGAAACATGATTTTTCCTTAATTTGTTAACTAGTGCTGTGACAAAAAATATATAGATTGTTTTACAATTGTCTTCTACTGTGCAGATGTAAACTTGAGCTTAGTACATTTCTGAATTAGCCTACAATCCAAATTAATTATCTGTATCTACTGAGATGTTTCTGGGTAAGTACAGAAAGACATAGCTCTGTGGAGAGAGAAGTAATAGTGTTTCCAGTGATAACTTATGTTAAAGAAGACCAAGCTTGGGATGCCATGCCTTAAGAATAGACTCTCAATATATTTTTCCAGCTTCCATTGTTGCTGCCCCACCAACAATTTAGTCCTTCTTAATACTATATAGCTATTAAGTCAATTTTATGCATGATAAATCTATTATCTTAGAAGAGAGAACAGTGCTGATGGATAAATGTGCACTATTGTTTTTATTACAAGGATGTAGTCAATCGTCGTCATTCCCAGATTGTCTATTTGTGAATTGGCTTACTTGCTAAAATTTATTTGTATCCCCAAATCAATACTTGCAGTACTTTTTCAGCCATTTGCTGACATAAGCAAAGTGTCAAAAAATTTTAGTGGCTGTGCACATTCTCAGCATAGGTTGAAGAAAATACTTGATCTTGTTTCAGCTTTCATATTATTAAAAAAAAGAACTACCATTCTACCCAGCAATCCACTACTGGGTATATACCCAAAGGAATAGAAATCATTCCACCATAAAGAGACATGCACACATATGATTACTGCAGAACTATTCACAATAGCAAAGACATGAAACCAACCTAACTGCCAATGGTAGATTGGATAAAAAAAAAAAAGTGTGGTATGTATGCACCATGGAATACTATGCAGCCATAAAAGAGCTAGATCATGTTTTTTACAGGAATATATATGGAACTGGAGGTCATTATCCTTAACAAACTAACACTGGAACAGAAAACCAAATGCTTCCTGTTCTCACTTGTAAGTGGAAGCTAAATAATGAGCACACATTGAAAGAAAGTGCAGGAGAAACAGACACAACAGACCCTTGGGCCTACTTGAGGGCGGAGGGTGGGAGGAGGGAGAGGATCAGAATAACAACAACAGCAATAACAAAAAAACCTATCAAGTCCCATGCTTAGTACATGGCGGATGAAATAATCCGTACACCAAACCCCCGAGTCATGAGTTTACCTGTATAAGAAACCTGCACATGTAACCCCGAACCTCAAAAAAAAGGTAAAAATTTTTTTAAAGAATGAATAAGGTCTAGCACTTGATAGCACAACAGAGTGACAATAGCAAATAATTAATTATATATTTTCAAATACCTGAGTATAACTGGATTGTTCTTAACACAAAGGTTAAAATGTTTACGTGACAGATACCCCTTTTACCCCCATGTGATTATTATACGTTGTGTGCCTGTATCAAAATATACCCCATCAATATATACACCTACTATGTAACCAAAAAAATTAAAAAATAAAAATGAAGGCTGGGCACAGTGGCTCACACCTGTAATCCCAGCACTTTGGGAGGCCAAGGCAGGTGGATCACGAGGTCAGGAGTTCGAGACCAGCCTGATCAACATAGTGAAACCCCGTCTTTACTAAAAATACAAAAATTAGTCAGGGGTGGTGGTGTGCGCCTATAATCCTAGTTACTTGGGAGGCTGAGGCAGGAGAATCACTTAAATGCGGGTGGCGGAGGTTGTGGTGAGCCAAGATTGTGCCACTGCACTCCAGCCTGGGCAACAGAGTGAGACTCTGTCTCAAAAAAGAAGTAAATAAATAAAAAAAAAAATGAAGAAAATATAAAATTAAATAAAGAGGTATTTTTTTTGCAGCCTATTTACTGCCACATTTTTTTTAGTACTTTTGTGCAATTTGTTAGTGACTTTGTTGTTTAAAATGGCCTCCAAGCATAGTGTGGCAGTGCTGTTTAGTGTATGCTTCAACATGATTCTATAATAATCTACTGATAACTGCTTAGCAAATGACATTAATATTATAATTTAAATTTATTTGTAGAAACACCTTAAATGATCATTTAAACTCAGGAGAAAAGAAGAGGGTCCTTGGTTTTTGTGTAGAACTTGGAGTAAATACTATAGTTTCAGTAATGATCACACCATCAAGCTGTTAACAACCAGGTGACAGAGAAAAAGTTTAAGGGCTATTAAAGAGAATTAAAGCTGGCTAAGATAACATGGGACATAATGTCCCATGCCAGACATTAACAAATTATAATAAAATAATAGAAGAAAGAAATTGAACTTGTAATTAAGCATCTATTTTTGCCTCCAGGTTTGTGTTGTGTTTTTATTTATCTCATTTAATACTCAACTCTGAAGTATCGTCATTGTTTAACAAAAGAAAGAATTGAGGGTCAGAGAGTTACATGTTCTGCTCCAGGCCACACACCTACATAATTTGATTATTGGCATCAAAATTCAAATCTTTGGGTTTTGAGTACTGATAATGTCTAGAATTACTCTCCTCTCTTACCTGTAAGCCTCTTCCTCAATACTGATTGTGCTTAGGTTGTTCTCTAAATTTTGAATCCTTTGAATTTCCACAGTCCTTCCTTCAACACAAAGAATAATATCCAGGGCTACTCTTTCTTATTATAGTAACTTACCCTGAAGACTCGGACCCAATGTTCTTCCTCTTTGAAACATATTCTAAAGACATAGATTTGAATTTTAACCCTGGCATCAGAAAACAACCCTTCAGCATATATGGGTATATGTATGTTTATGTATATGTGCAAATTTTTTATATGTTCCTGAATAACACATCTTGTACCAAATGTGATTTAAAATTGTTAATAGAGATAACATACAATAAAACAACTTACTGAGTTGTTTACTATGTGAAGACTACCTCTCATTCAAGAGGGAGGATTGAGCACACATGTTTACATGCTGCTTCTGTGTGACTCAAATTAAATAACAGTAATGGGCTAAAAATGCATAAATTCATAATGATGAATAGAATGAGAACAGGAACAACATTAGATGATGAATTTTAACATTTATGATGACAAAAATAGATCAATGAGATGTGACTAAAGAGAAAAAGCCATGAAGACAAAGCCTAGAATATATGAAGAAGTAATTACAAGAAAGGAGGCAGAGGATAGAATTTCTCAATACATTTCTCAACTCAGAAACTTCAAGAACATTAGAGAGTGAAATGTAGAGGATGGGATAAACAGACATTTAGTAATCTCTATGTCAATATTCTCTATTTCTTAAGGCAAACATCCCACAACCAAGTACTCATGTCCTGACAGAATAAACAGCATGAGATTCTTCTGTAAAAATAAGTTTGAGGAAAACTAGCACAAATATTCTGGGGTATTGACACCTCCGAGTAATGACTTCTGCATTTTATCATTTGGGAGTCTGACAGTTCTGTGTCAGTTTCTTCTTGACTCCTTCCAAAGTAAGTTTGGTTAAGTTAACAGCTCTGCCCTTACACTTTTAATTTGCACTATCCTATTGTTCACTAAACAGAAAAAGGCAAACAAGGATCATCAGGCTTCTGCATTATAAAGATAAAGTCCAAGAAAAACAAACTGCAAACTAGACTTCTCGTCTCAGTTGAAAAGAGAAATTTTAAGGAAGATAACTGAACAAAAACCTATGTAATATTGACAGACACATATTTACATATCCATAAAATAGGAAAGTAATACAATAAAATGGGTATGGAGAGAATATAAAGTGCTATTATGAAAAAAAGATGGTTTCTGAAATATATATATTATATAAGTACATAGAAGGTAAGTATTTGGTTGTGGGATGTTTTGCCATAAGAAATAGAGAATATTGATGTAGAGATTACAAAAAATATAGATGATAGATAATCAACTTGTAGAATTAACTTAGAGACAGAATGCAGATTATATATATATTATATATAATCATATATATATTATATATGAAGGAGGTGGAGGAGATGAGAAAGGAAGATAGAAAAGAGGAGAGAGAATATTATGTTAGGACAGATACTTTATATGATAAAAGAATCAGATCAACACCATATATCTTACTAACATATTGATGCTAGAAAGCATTAGATCAATGCCTTTAAAGCTCTGAGGAAAATTATTTTCAACTTAAAATTCTAAACCTACTGATATTATCGATATAGTGGAAGTGTCAAAGAAAGTTATTGTGAGACATATTTGAACTAAAAAGTTTCCCTGAGAATGTATTCTAGCAAAATACGTGCAGAAACCAAGGAAGATTGAACATGGGAGCCAGTGATCCAGGAAAAGAAAAATTAAGTGAAGTTTTAATTTAATACCTACAATGTAGCAAAAATAACAATTAGTAAATGTTGGAAATAGAACAGATAATTCAGAGAATAGGGTATCTGAAGAGACAGAAAGAGAAAGAGAAAGAGAACATATCACATGGTTTAGAAAATGTTACCAAGGCATTAAAATAACGAAATAATTTGATAAAGGCAGACAGTGCTAGATTTAAAACAATGGTTAGAAACTTCTACATAAAAATTAAATGCTATATAAAAAAGAAAATTTCATTACAAGATACTCTTTAACTCTGTAGCAAAATATAATTGGAAAGTCATAATAAAATAAAATCTTTTAATTGATATTCAACTTGTAGAATTAACTTAGAAACAAAATGCAGACAATGTATGTCACATTCTGTTTTGTATTGCTATAGCAGAGAGAGTTACCTGAGAGTGGGTAATTTATAAAGAACAGAGATTTAGTTTTTACAGCTCTGGAGGATGGGAAGTCTAAGATCAAGGGGCCACATCTGGAAGACCTTCTTGCTGCATCATCCCATGGTGGAAAGCAGAAGGACCAGATGGCACACTTGAGAGGGAGCAGAAGATGAGGCTAAATTCTCTTTTATAAGGAACTCATTCTCATGATAGCTAACCCACTCCCAAGATAATGATATTAATCTATTCATGAGGCAGAGCCCTCATGACCTGATCCCCTCTTATTAGGCCCCACCTTTTAATACCATTGCATTGGGAGTTGTTTCCATGACATGAACTTTGGGGGACACATTCAAACCACAGCAATATAATTTCAGAAAAAATACAAAAGTGCAGATGATAAAGATTGGGAGAATAGATAAGAAATACAATCCAGGGGCATTTAGACATGCTACTGTGCTTGTCTTGTACAATGCAGAAGCATGAAACACAAACTGCAGTTAATGAAAACATAATGTTACCAAGAAAATGAATGCAGAGACTCTGCCTTAAGCAAACACTCCTTTTGTTCCTGCTCTGGAATTCTGGAACATCTGTCATCCTTAAACACTTTATAGGCATTAAGATGAGGCAGGGTTGTTTTTCCTCTAGTTATAATTAGGTCAGTCTTTAGAATTTCCAGGAGATTTAATAGACTGTATATTATCAGGTAATTCCTTATTGTCTCTTTTAATAGTAATTTCACAAGGTATTATAAATCAATGAACACAAGACTGCAACATTTTTTTCAGAAATAATTATTTTGTTAACACATCCTTTAATAATCAGCTTATCTTGGGTCGGAATTAGCACAGTCTTATAAGAAATTGAAGAAATAAAGACACCTAAGTAGTCTAAATATAAGGTTAGTCAACTTCCACTTGGAGGTGTGATTAGCTTCATGGGGATGAACATCCAGGCAGAATTTCAGATGCTGAGATAGATATTAACAAGATGTTATTCACTCATTTGAACATTGTGGTTAGTGTCCCAATATATATTCTATCCCCTCCTTGTTAAGGCTGGTTGTAAACAGCAATGTGGTCCTAAGACTTAACCCTATGCCCAGGAAAGGGCATTGATTAGTCTAATCCAATTAATTTAATTCCTTTAATTCTCTTCCCCTTGACACTGTTTGTCTTAAAAAAATCCAGGTTTAAGTCAATTAGCACAAAACCATCTCTTGGTGAAAGTTATTGGAGCAGGGATAAATATATCATATAATTTGGTCCAATCAAATGGAAAGATAAGCACTTTATCACAAGCTTTATGAAACATAATAAGGAAGGCATTACTAAGTTGCTGTTGGCATTAATTTTGTGACCATGAAAGAAGTGAAGGGCAGAACAATAAGAATTTGAGAGAAATGTAGTCTTGGTCAAAACATGCCTGACATTCGCTCATCTCTGCACTTGCAGATAAGTGAGATAATCCTGTATCTTTAAGCAGAGTTGGCTTAGATTTCAATTATGTCGATATTAAAGTATCCTAATAGAGATACCCTCTAGCTGTAAGCCAATCCTGGCAGCATAAGGGAAGTGACCTGAGGAGTCCATGTTCTCTTTTTTTAGTTCCATTCCTTAGACACAAGAATGTTATGCAAGGGGCAATCACAGATCCTTTTCTCCCTGGTTCTTCTTGCAGGCACAATGATGGGAGTAGTGAGGATTATACTTTAAAGAGTCAATCAAGACTAACATGTACCATGTAAAACATGACCTTGTGCTACATAATTCTAAACTGATGATACATTAAATCTTACCAACTCCATAAACATATACTGGAATAATTACAGGTATTGTATTGGTGTAGTATTTAGGAAATAAATAAAACCATAATGGAGAAACCATACAGGTTACTGTAACAAAATTAAGGGGAGGGGTTCTTCACCTGTCACCTTAAGCAATTACAAAATGTTGAGCTATTTGAAGGTGGTGATAATGGATGCCAGCAAATCATTCAGCTTTTCCTCAGTGCATAACTTACATAATTATTTATTGAAATAGTGATAAATGAGTCTGAAATATTGATATTCTGCAATAAATGGTCACTTTTAATTATGTTCAAATGGATGCTTTGCCTGATAGAATTCTGTCATATTAATAAATGTTGCAGAGAAAACACATTCCTTATACTAACGAAGGGACAACATTCTATAATTTAATCAACCAATTTCTAGATGACGACGTGGGGAAGGGGAAAGCAGTAATCACCAGTAACCAGTAAATAGTTTAGTGGTGTGCCTTAACATGAAGGAACACAAACAGTTATTTAGTTCCCCTTTCTTTTGTAAGTGTAGATCTACTCTGTGCCAAGTCAACAGAGTAAATAATTGTGGACCAGAGGAGGTCAATGAGAAGGGGTTGGTCCAATTTTATGAGGATTCCAGGGAGAGAAGATGTTAATACTACCAACCTGTTCTCCCTGATATTTGGAATTTATGGGGAACTACTAGACAGAAGGTTACTAACCAAGACCTGGCAGCAGTGAGAGGCAGCAAGTATATTATCCTAGAGGGTAGGTAGATGTTATTATGGAGGGTAGAGAGTTCTCAAAATACTAATGAGCTACAACATCAAATCAGAAAGAGAGACAGAGAAGTAAGTTAGTGCTTTTAGTTACAAGCTTTGTTAGGTCTTGACACAATGTACACTAGGAACTTTTAATTCAATATCTAGACAAATGCCAACTGAAATTATTGTTTGATAGGAACTATCTACTTCCAACTTATAATTTCAAACCAACTACATGGATTTAGGGAAAAGTTTTTTTTTTGAAAAGGTTTTTCACAGGACAAAATGCTAGGCAGGCCACCCCCAAATATATGTAATACTACCACGTTTTGTGCATTTATAAGTTGAATATGGTACAACATGTCTAGATGAATATTCACCCTGTATGTGTATGTGGGTCAAGGGAGCACGGCATAGACATATAGATGTGTCTCTCAGATTCCTCTTTAAGGAAGAATTTGTTGCCCACTCATGGAGAGTACAGTCAGCAGATAACCTCCAGGGGTCAGCCACTTCAGGGTCTACCTCAACTGCAGACCTCCATACCACCCAAGGTTATGATCTTCCCAAAGCAGCTCAGATCCAAGGACTGAATGAAATGTGGATATAAAATTCTAGTCATTTTGGCCAGATGCAAGACATTATCATGTCCCATTGCTCTTTGCCAAACTGGATGAGGATTTCTTGGGCCTGAGTCACAATTTTCCTTTGCTCAATCCTGCTACACATTCTTTCCCTTCACAGATATTGATTCTTAACAAACACAGAGAATCCCAAGACACCAAACTTCATCATTATTTGCTTCTGGAGAACTTAATCTGTGTGTGTGTGTGTGTGTGTGTGTGTGTGTGTGTGTGTGTGATTGACTCTGTATCTGTAAGTCTGTGTATATTCTAGAGCAAGCCTATCTGGATAAAACTCTTGGTTCTACTATTTACTAGATGAAGATAATAATTTATCCCAATCTCAGATTGAAATGACTTAATCCATGAAAACTCTGAACAGCAGCTGGTACATAGTATCCAACAAATGTCAGCGATTAGCATACATAGCCATATATATGTATGCATATCTGTTGAACATTTCAGGAATATATACTTGTTCATTTATGCAAACCAATTCTAGAATATAGTAATTATGGCGAAAACTGCCTGTTTTCCATGCTTAGAACAAATTGCTGACAAAACTGCTTCATTGTCATATACGATAGACTCGCTATAATTATTTTTCACTAATATAACCATAACAACTCCAAACAAGTATTTAAATTTAACAAGCTACTCTTTATTGATTCAGTCTTTGCTGAAGATGATTTCTACAAAAGCTCATAGAAAGCTATGTTTACAAAGAATTTTTCACCTGTTCACACCAGCTTTACCTGCAACCTGCAAGCAGTTACTTTCCATTAGGATGTTGAAATCTTTAAACCTGGGTTCATTGTAGGAGATGGGTACTGATGGGGAGTTTACTTTGCTTTCTTTTTGGCTATATTCTCTGCTCTGGAGGGTTTCATATTCTCTGTGAAACACCACAAAAATGAAAGTCTAGCAAAATGAGAGTCTGACTTTCAATACTTTTTTCTATTTTATCATGTTCTTTTTTAGCCAATGTCAAGAGGAGGGGGCATTTTCCTGGAATTTTCAACGACCTATGTGCTGTGAGCCAGTTTGCACCATTCAAATGATTCTCATTCACAGTGGCCAATCCCTGATTCCTATGGCTCTTAGGGAGGGAGCAGGGTATCTTTTGTCTCCCTTATGTGGGTGATCCCAGAGATACATTTGTTAGGTCGTGTAAGTATTAAATGAAATAAACTTGAGGAAGGGAACAAAAAGAGATAATTAGATGTCTTGCAATATGTTTTTCTGTACTTGACTTTCATTGACCAAAGGGGCTTCTGTAAGGCATATGGGTATGAGTACCAAGAATTTTAAGAGCTTTCAGAAGGGAAGGAGCACAGATTGGGAAAGGTTTGAAAGTCATTTTCAATGTTTTTATCCTTTTTGTTAAATAGTCAACATTTGTGCTTGAAGCCTATTACCAGTACAAGCTGGGCAAGATAACTGTAACTATTCACAGCAGACAAAACAGAAAACTAGATTCTCCATTTTCCTCAAACAGTATATACTCATGAAAGAGCAAACTTCAAATTCCCCATCTTTTCCCCTCTACTAACATAGATGCTTGAAAAATTATTTTGATTTTATCAAAGTGCACCTTTGTAAAGGAAAAATTACCCTTTTCAGAAGTGTTATGATTTGAACAACATATTGTTCTAAATCATACTACAATTCTTCATTAGTTTCATTCATTTCTATAAAATTAATAGTCAAGTGTGCTGGCTGTAATGTGTATTCTATATATTACCAGTTTTGTGAGATGCTTGAGAGCAGAGTTTATATCTTATTTCATGTTCTCGGCATTTAGCATAGAATTCAAAATTTGCCTCTGCATTTTTGTATCCTTGAATACAATAGCAGTAAAATACCAGAATTGCCTTGTTGGGGTTATATTATCAAATGCATATACATGAATGTTGGCCTTTCTGATAAGCTAATTAAACAGCAACTTTCAAGGATTAATTTGAATTCAGAGACACCCTTATTATCCACAGTGTATGTTTCACAAGTAGAAAAAAAATGGAATCATCTCCAAAAGGATATGGATTCTCATTTTTTCTTCATGGTTATTTGTAGTAGAAATAATAGTATTAGCATGCAACAATCTTTTCCATATATACAGAAACATGAAGGACACATTTACGTTTTAATAGTTTAGATTTTAGGAGATATCTTATGGTAATAAAACTGTTAATATCTTCAATTCATTTAAAATGTTTACAAGGAAATGTTAAAATATGCATATAACCTCTATTGAATAATTCATACTCATAGTAAGACTTCGGATAATGTAACATTTGAATTGTATATACTGCAAGTTGACTTGAATGATTGTTTTACCTATATAATTCACCAGCATCCCCTGTGTATATAGAGATTGTATTTCCAGAAACTATGATGCTCTGAGCTGTTTAGGTGTATAGCTTGCGCCAATTATGTTATTCATATATTAAATTCATTTTGATGTGAGATAGATTATTATAATTTGTTCAGAGAGTTTTGGAAAAAACGTGCCATCACTTTTTGCTGCTTTTTTCTTTTCATTAAACTAATGGCAATAAATCACTACAAAATACGCAGGAAAACTAGGGGGAAATTTTTAATTGTTTAATAGAGTTATGCACTAAGTTCTCTGACATTTGTAACTATTGCTTTCATGTAAAGTGTTTACATGAAGTAAAATTTTCAAATTTCATGAACTCTAAGCTGAACTTTCAACCCCAGAGAATTCTGAAGATAATACTGCCCTTAACTTGCTCTTTAACCTTTTTTTTTGGATTTTCGAAAGTCGTCTGTTCATTTATTTTCAATCTATAAATATTGTTGGGTACCAGACACTTCCAAATCACAAGAGTGGGTATTAACAATAGCTATCACGATGAATTATATACAGGTATTTTCTTACAGGGGACAAAGGTGAGAGAAAGGGGACAAATATTTATAAATACTAATTGCAAACCAGGCAGACGTATTGTGTTTTCACATATATACTCATTTGATTTGCACAACACTATGATGAGGTATCATATTTTAAAAATTTGATAAATGAGTGAACTGAATTATTAACTTATACAAGTTTGCACATTTTGTAGGCATGGAACCAGGAGCTAACTCCTAAAAGCCTCCCTTATTTTGTCTTCTCTACTATACTCTGTTGCCTGTGGCTAAGTAGAAGAGATGAAGTATATACAAAGTATACAAAATAGAAAATGTTAACTGCCAGAAGAGGAGTGCTGATAAAGTAGTATGAGAGTTTTACAGTTTTATACTTCACACCGCAATATTTGAAGCCCAGGAAAAGAACGTGACTTATAGTTTAGAATTTAGTATTTCTTTTAGTCCCTCATGTCTCAAACCTAAGGTGAGTTCCTTGGAATGGTGTGCTGTTTGAGTTTAAAGCATTAGAAATCAGCAGATGATTATGGTGTAATGTTTGAGATTGCACAGACATCAGAATATGGGAACAATTCTTTATTCTTTTAAAAAATATTCACTTTTAAAAATTAGTATTCCACTTCCTTTCCTTTGAATAGGTCTTCTAAAAGTCATTTCCAAAGCATTACAGCCCATGAAGTATTTACAGTGGCTACCCTCCTTCTCACAGGATGATGGCAACCGTAATTACAATTGCAGGTCACAACCTTTCAAATATCCCTATGGCTTTAGGGGTTATAAAACCATAAAGAAGCTCCACATTTCCATTTTTATCATTCAATCCAATCTTTTTACTGTGGAAGTCTCCAAGAGAGCTTTAGGTAATCAACCTTTTTCCTCACTGTCACTCAGCAATTGGACTTTCATAAGAATTTGAAGACAGAAATTATATCCACAGCTCTAAGTGTTCTAAATATGTCTCTATTTCTTACCTTCTACTTTTTCTCTAAACACAGAACTTTTATTCACTGAATATTTACTACAAAGCCTACTCTAGGTCAGGCTTAGGCAATATGTGAGAACTGGACATCGCAGTGCCAAGAGCTCCTAAGTGATGGATAAAGGAGGAAAAGAGAGGGAGGATATGACTCGGGTCCCCAGCTCAATTGCAGGGACCATAGCAGGTCTTTGTGAAGAAAAGACAAATGTTCACTGTATCTGAGGAGAACAGACATTTATCTCACGCTCAGTTAGGACCATAGTAACACAGTGTCATTTCAGTCACAAAATGCTCTGCAGCTTTGGAAGCCCCTGGAGAGACTATATCCCATGTGATGGGTGATCTATGAGAACGGTATTATCAGTGGTTTAAATAAATGTCAAGTGAATATGGTAGAGAAATAATAGAAACCTGATGGGAAAGTAGCCACAACAAGCAAATTCATATTGTTCAAGCATGTTAGTGACTGTCCCATGAGACTTCTCGGAGATATTTGATAGAGAATTTGGCAGGGATTTATAGTTCTGTGTGGTCAGGAAGAATATAGAATCAATGCTAATATGAATGTATTTGCATATTAAAGAAGATATAAGCCAAAGATGGATCCCAAAGATGATTTTTATACAGTGTTCAGGTGTAGGATGTATACATTTGCACATAAATCTTGTATAGTTTGTAAACTGCATGAGAGGAGGGACCTTGTATTAGATTCTAATTTTCTGGCACCCAATAGGCACTTCTTGTTTGCTAAGCCTGGTGGTTATATATCCTAATATTGGAGGAATTCTCAGTCACATATTACAGGTAAAGGTATAGTAATGATAATAACTACAACTTCGTGAACGCAGACTATGTGCCAGGTATTGTTTTGGGTTTTTACAAATGTCAACTAATTCATTCCTCATAACCACCCTGGGAAGGAGATATTTTGATTTTGAATCTTATTCTTGACACTTATTTGATGGGGACTTTGGTAAAGTTGCTTACATTTTCTTTACTTCAGCATCAGCAGATACTAAAAAGAAATACAGGGGATAATACAGGCATCTTGGATGATTGTGATAAGTAAACAATAAGTATTTGGTGCCCTTCACATAGTGGCTGCCAATAACAATGTTCATTTCAGTCCTTCCTTTAGTTCTCTTGTGTTACCTTGGCCTTTTTCTACAAGTAGTGTTTACTTAGAATTGGCCTGTATTGTTCACATTTGCTTTTTAAAAACATTTTTATTTACTTATTATAACAAAAGAGTTTTTCAGTTTCTGGTTAGAATGAGTCTGCATCACTCTTGTTCCGGATTGCTTTACCTGCAGATTCCTCATTTCCTGTCTCTACACAGCCCAGTATGTTGGAGACATCAAAGGCCGCTGAGGAGAGTCATCCATCATCTTGACACCTTTTATGAGTTTACTGCTCCTGATGGTGATTATAGGAAAGGCTGCTTCAAAGTGATAACTGCCAGAGGTACTTGACGTTCATAGTATTGAATAACAGAAACTAAGTCCAAGTTTGGGACAACAGAAAAAATAAATAAAAATTGAAGGACAAAATGAAGAGGTAGTAAAATGCAAAGGCAACTCTAAAAAGCTGGTTCTGATTGAGAAGTATTGATTTTAGGTGGAAATGAACCAATAGAATCTATTCCAAAGGTAAGTTCTCATAGATTGTGCCACTTCCACAATGCCAATTTAGTCACATGACAATAAGCCCTTGAGCTTATTGTCTTGATATTTTGTCTATATGACATCAAGCACCTAGGGTCTGGCTAGTTTCAAATACAGGCTGCCATCACAAATGAAATCAATGCCTATTTAAAGGAGTCTTGGTATTGCTAAAGAAAACATAGTGTTCCCATTGGTCTCCATTATCATGTTAGGGGTGCTTTGTGCTATTAACAAATGTGTAGTGAAAATGACCAATTAGATTCAATAATAATAACTAACATTAACTAAGCACTTAGGATATACTACTATATCATATGCTAGGCATCTTAACTACATTTTCTTACATAATCAGTATTGTAGTCAGCACTACTGGGGGTATTAATCAACAATACCATGTTTCGCTGTCCATGTTCAGAATTAATTGAGATACAGCACACAAGACTAGGGCAAATGGAAAACAAAATATTGTTTTTATCACTGATAAAGCTTATTGTATAATGCAGCTTTCGATTTGTAGCCAGAAGGTATAGTTAATGTGTTGCTTCAATGAAAACAGACTCATCACTGTTTACTGGTTTACTGTTTACTGTTTAGTGGTCACCGGTTGAACTGGACAATATGAGGGCTCTCCCAAAAGTGGCAATGTTTTCTCCATTATGTTTACAACATAGCAGAATGTGTGCCTCCTGGAGACAAGGTGACTCTAAAGAGAGAAGAAAGGACTGAGCTGGGCAAGCTTATTTCCTTCTCCAAATTTGCTAATCAGATTAGACTCTCCTCTGTGAGAAAGAATCAGTGAGGAGGCAGAGAGTAGCTGGAAATGTTTCTCCAATATTTCCCTCTCTTGAAAGTGAAGGTCTTATTTCCTTCCCCAAAAGAAATATGAGAAGTGAGGAACAGAAACCCCACTCCCAACAGGACCCATAATATTACACAATTAATAACTGAAAAAACAAGTTTAAGTTGTTAATAACTTATTAGTTTCAAAAAACTAGTAAGTGACATAAATTGGCTCCTAGAAAGTCTTTAACCTCCAAAGATTTAGCTGTGACTAACTATATGTAATAATTATTTAGTAGCATAATCTATAGAACACAGAGAAACTTTCAGTTTATATAATATATAACATACAAATAATATTTGGAAGATCAGCATTAGTGCCATTATGCAATCAATAGTAAATTCTACAAATAAAAGGAATAAACGTACTCAAAGTTTTATTTTTTATTTCATTTTATTTTTTCTCCAAACACAATGAGTTATTCAGGCAGACCATGTGGGGAATGGTTTTCCAAACAGAGAGAAAACACCTGATAAGTCACAGAAACACCAGTATCATGCTATTGAAATGGCTATGTTGTCCGGGATATAAACCCGGGGTTCATCATCTCATGCAAGGAAAATTTAGGACACAGGCACACACGAGGAGTTTAGGAGCAGAGGTTTAATAGGCAGAAGAGAAAGAGAAACAGATTTTTCTATAGAGGATGGGGTCTCTGAGAGGAAAAGACCCGCTGGAGGCGAAAGTACTGGATTTTATAGTCTAGTTTGGGGAGGTGGTGTCTGGATGTACATGGGGCTCACAGATTGGTTCAATCAGGTAAGACATTTACATAGGGCAGGGGAAAAGCTAGTCACTCCACCCTAATCTCATGCAAATGAGTTTTCCAACTGATCGGTGCCATCTTATCTGCTCCTCACAATACACGTGGCTGGCAGAGAAGGGAAGATGGAGCCGCCATCTTGAACATGTCTAGTTCTTAGTTCCTGCTGGCATTCACCCCTGCAAGCTCCCAGCTTGCTTGTCTATGTCTGCAGCTTGACTTTACAGGCTACTGCTTGTTAGAAAATGATTTGGGGCTGCTTTTCATTAAAGAGAAAAGCCTTACTGAGGACCCCCATATCCTTACTATCTGCCTAAACGATTTCTTCTTAACTCCTACATCCTTATGTTCTAGGGATTGCAAATACTTTCATGAGAATGGGGACAAGAGATGCTTGCACATGAGATTATGGCAGAAACTCATGACTGGAAAAGGATGAACTATCCAACATGTCCTAAGAATTTTGGAATTTCTCCTGAAGTTCTCAGGAGTTCCTCAAAATTTGAAGACAACTGTAATATTGCAAGGTTTACAGCTTAGGAGTTGCATTGTGACAGAACTGTGGAGGAAGCTTCAAAGTAGAGTGTGACTAGCGATAAGGAGACTATTCTGGCAGTTGTTAAAATGGTCCAATCAAAGGAAAATAATGAGGTCTTATTTCAGGGCAGTAGTTATATGAAGGAATGAATAGATGCATAGGCTCCATAAAAAGTATATTTAATTAGTTAAATAAGCAATTCAATTTTGGGATTCAGCAGAAGAGGAAGGGTATCTGTCCCCACTGAGATGATGATGGTGACTACTCATTGCAAAGGGGAAAACAGGCAGTTTGGGATGGAGGATGGTGATGTGTTCTATATGATCATACTGAGTTTCACAGACCAATGAGTTCTCCAACTGGAGATGTTCAATTGACAGCAGATTCTTGAATTCAGAAGAGGACACTGGGCTTGAGTAGTACAACTGTGAGTCATTGGATTAAAGAGGTAGAAGTTGTATGGGTAGCTGGGATCTATCAGAACAAATACACAAAATTAAGAGAGAAAATGATCAAACAACAGCATTCCAGAAACTAACATGTAAGAGCTGGGAGAATAAAGATAAGTTTATGATTGAGGGGTTAGGCACAGTAGGTACAGTTTAAGGAGGGCCTCAGTGTCATCATGGAATGAAGAAAAGAAATTAAAAGAAAAACTGAAAGCTTTACAGTGGATCATTAAATACTTCCATTTAATAATGACAGTACAAGTGACTGCTATGTGTTTATTTACTTACAGCCCAACACATCCTAAGCAATCAGAAGCACAATATGTGTTTCTAGAATGAGTGGCTAAGACATTCAGATTATAAAACATAAAAAAGATTAAATATGGGCCATTTTAGTCATAGAAACAATAAGGTAAAATCTGTATCTTTAGGCAATACTTTGATAACATGATGAAGAAAATTTGAAATAAACAATAAAGTAATTGTAAAAGCAGTTAGGTCACTGAGAACTAAAGTTTAGCCTAGTAATGAAAAGCTGGCTTAGGCGGGGGATAGGAAAATCAAAGTTTTAAGACCAAGTGTGACACTGAAATACTAATTAGGACATGCTTATAGGCAAAGTTTTACAGTGTATATGTGTAAACGGAGACCTGAGAGCACTTACATGAAAATAAAACTTTTTCGTTTCCAAAGATGTCTTCAATTTCAAGAAAGTTCAGAAGCAGTAAATCATTTGATGAAACAATCTGAGCAAATACTCCTAATCAGATGTTACAGGTTAAAACTTTGCAAACAGATATCAGAGGAGGGAAAAAAGAAACATGTAAAAATGAGTCAGATGGCATTGAGTGTCTTTCTTTATAGAGATAAAGCTCCCCAGCATCCTTGAGGGAGAGAATAAGAGCTTTGTAAAGATGCATCTGCTTTAAGCAATGTTCAGAAAAATTGACGTGAAAGAATGGAGTGCAAACACAAGAAGAAAGAAAAGAGAGAAAGAGAGAGGGAGGGAGAGAGAGAGAGAAAGGAGAAAGGGAGGGAGGGAGGGAAAAAGAGAGAAAAGAAAAGAAGAAAAGAAACATTATGAGCTTAGAATTTTGTGAGGAATTTTTACAGTGAAGTAGTATTTGATCCACAATTACAAATTATCCACTGACTAGCTTCAGAAGAAGTTCTATTTTTTCCCTTTATAATGAGGATCAATAAAAATATATTACTCAAGTGTTCAACTTCTGTATTCAGCCACTATGTACAAAAATGAATAAAAATGTAATACATCATAAAGATACATTTATCTTATATAAGTACAATGAAAATTACAAGTTGGAAAATGAGCTGTGTAGAATTTATATTCAGCAATTTTGCTGCATTAACGAATCCCAGAGCATAGGTTCTTAAAATGATAGCCATTTATGTAGCACGAGGTTCTACATGTTAACAATCAGGCCTGGGCTTGTTTGGTGTTTCTTTTGGTCAGGCTCAGCTTGGCTGATTTGGTTGAGCTTGCTCATACATCTGTTACCATTTGGTGACCGAGATGGTTGGTTTATGATGGCATTACCCAGATAGCTAGGATGGCTGATACCTTTTTCTGTAGTCTTTCAACACTTTGTTTGATGATTGCTGAATTCCAAGATGAGCAAGAGTAGAAACTGCAAAGCTTTTGGACATCCAGGCTTTAAGCTGAAACAACAGCACTTTTGCTGCATTCTAGTGGTCAAAATATGTCACAAGGTGAGCTTAGATTTCACAGTTAGAGTAATTGATCCCACATTTTTCTGAGAGAAACTGTAAAATGTTGTGATGGCCAAGTTTGTTCCCAAGAAGAGAATCAAATATAAGTTGGAAGACTGTTATTTCTTAGAATTTTAACTACTAAGTGTAATACTTCATAGAATATTTATTTTAAACAGCAATGCCTTTACAAAGCCTATAGACTGACCATTAAAGATGGAAGCTTTACCACACGCGTTTACCTACTCCACTTCCTTGTTATGTAAGTTTATATATTATCCTCATTCTTTAAGTTGTTTAAAATAGGGTTATTTATTATTTGTAGGAAAAAAATATCCTAACTAACACATAGGTACACGACTTGGTATTTAGTGAATTGATTAATTCAAAGCTCAAGTTCAAATTTTTGTTGATTTCTGACTATGACTCAGTAATTTTGAGATAATGGGGATAAAAACGATGAGTAGAGCCAAGGAGACAGGAAAATCTTTCCATTCAGCTTACAGAAAGGGAAATGGGGAAAGACAATTAAATAAATGAAGATGGTATTCTCTGCCTGTATCAGGCCTCATCAGTGGAGGGCCAAAATATAAAGAAATAAAAGGAAAACCTTTTAGAGAAAATGATGCCTGAGCTGACCATCACCAAATGGGAAGGAGTTTTCTAGGAAGTCAATAATAAGGAAGTGGGGAAGTATGAGGTGAGTGTCTTAGTCTAAAGGAAAGCAAACATAAAAGTGGAGGTATATAAACAGGTTTGTTTTATTCAGAGAACCACTAGTTGTCCACTCCTTATAGCTAACCCAGGAAGTGGACAGTAAAGTGGGAAGTGATATGGCAGAGAACGGCCAGTGTTACATGTGGTATTGGCATGCAATTGGAATTGATGATGTATAAATATCAAGTTCCAAGCTGCCACCCAATAATTTCCTACAGTATTGCTTTTCTTTTGCTTTTGATTTTCGACACAGGCCTCAGCTATCACTCTAGATATTTCGCTTTTCAATTAATAATCATTCTGGGTGAGAAATCAGTCATTTACTAGAAATAAGAATATCACTATCACCATTTCAGATGTTTCCAATTTATTCTTGTTGATTTAAGATCTTATACCAATTCAAATTTATAGCATGTGCATTTGTATATAACAATGGGGTTTGGTTTTAATCACAGTATGGGGTTATTTCACTATTCATGAATATGTATGATAGGTCAAAAGGAATGGAGTAGCAAGTATTAATTATATGATTACTAATTGATTTAACATGGACTCAGAGTACTTAACAGTCTCTGATTTAATCAGTTTTTTCTTTATTTCTAATTAGTTTTCTTTTTTTATGGATTTAATTTATTATTATTATTATTATACTTTAAGTTTTAGGGTACATGGGCACAATGTACAGGTTAGTTACATATGTATACATGTGCCATGCTGGTGTGCTGCACCCATTAACTCGTCATTTAGCATTAGGCATATCTCCTAATGCTATCCCTCCCACCTTCCCCCACCCCACAACAGTCCCCAGAGTGTGACGTTTCCCTTCCTGTGTCCATGTGTTCTCATTGTTCAATTCCCATCTATGAGTGAGAACATGCGGTGTTTGGTTTTTTGTTCTTGCGATAGTTTACTGAGAATGATGATTTCCAATTTCATCCATGTCCCTACAAAGGACATGAACTCATCATTTTTTGTGGCTGCATAGTATTCCATGGTGTATATGTGCCACATTTTCTTAATCCAGTCTATCATTGTTGGACATTTGGGTTGGTTCCAAGTCTTTGCTATTGTGAATAGTGCCGCAATAAACATACGTGTGCATTGTGTCTTTATAGCAGCATGATTTATAGTCCTTTGGGTATATACCCAGTAATGGGATTGCTGGGTCAAATGGTATTTCTAGTTCTAGATCCCTGAGGAATCGCCACACTGACTTCCACAATGGTTGAATTAGCTTACAGTCCCACCAATAGTGTAAAAGTGTTCCTATTTCTCCACATCCTCTCCAGCATCTGTTGTTTCCTGACTTTTTGATGATTGCCATTCTAACTGGTGTGAGATGGTATCTCATTGTGGTTTTGATTTGCATTTCTCTGATGGCCAGTGATGATGAGCATTTTTTCATGTGTCTTTTGGCTGCATAAATGTCTTCTTTTGAGAAGTGTCTGTTCATATCCTTTGCCCACTTTTTGATGGGGTTGTTTGTTTTTTTCTTGTAAATTTGTTTGAGTTCATTGTAGATTCTGGATATTAGCCCTTTGTCAGATGAGTATGTTGTGAAAATTTTCTCCCATTTTGTAGGTTGCCTGTTCACTATGATGGTAGTTTCTTTTGCTGTGCAGAAGCTCTTTAGTTTAATTAGATCCCATTTGTCAATTTTGGCTTTTGTTGCCATTGCTTTTGGTGTTTTAGAAATTATAACAAACTGTCTCTCAGACCACAGTGCAATCAAACTAGAACTCAGGATTAAGAAACTCACTCAAAACTGCTCAACAACGCGGAAACTGAACAACCTGCTCCTGATTGACTACCAGGTACATAACGAAATGAAGGCAGAAATAAAGATGTTCTTTGAAACCAACGAGAACAAAGACACAAGATACCAGAATCTCTGGGACACATTCAAAGCAGTGTGTAGAGGGAAATTTATAGCACTAAATGCCCACAAGAGAAAGCAGAAAACATCTAAAATTGACACCGTAACAGCACAATTAAAAGAACTAGAAAAGCAAGAGCAAACACATTCAAAAGCTAGCAGAAGGCAAGAAATAACTAAAATCAGAGCAGAACTGAAGGAAATAGAGACACAAAAATCCCTTCAAAAAATTAGTGAATCCAGGAGCTGGTTTTTTGAAAGGATCAACAAAATTGATAGACCGCTAGCAAGACTAATAAAGAAAAAAAGAGAGAAAAATCAAATAGACGCAATAAAAAATAATAAAGGGCATATCACCACCGATCCCACAGAAATACAAACTACCATCAGAGAATACTACAAACACCTCTACGCTAATAAACTAGAAAATCTAGAAGAAATGGATAAATTCCTCGACACATACACTCTCCCAAGACTAAACCAGGAAGAAGTTAAATCTCTGAATAGACCAATAACAGGATCTGAAATTGTGGCAATAATCAACAGCTTACCAACCAAAAAGAGTCCAGGACCAGATGGATTCACAGCCGAATTCTACCAGAGGTACAAGGAGGAACTGGTACCATTCCTTCTGAAACTATTCCAATCAATAGAAAAAGAGGGAATCCTCCCTAACTCATTTTATGAGGCCAGCATCATCCTGATTCCAAAGCCTGGCAGAGACACAACCAAAAAAGAGAATTTTAGACCAATATCCTTGATGAACATTGATGCAAAAATCCTCAGTAAAATACTGGCAAAACGAATCCAGCAGCACATCAAAAAGCTTATCCACCATGATCAAGTGGGCTTCATCCCTGGGATGCAAGGCTGGTTCAATATACGCAAATCAATAAATGTAATCCAGCATATAAACAGAACCAAAGACAAAAACCACATGATTATCCCCATAGATGCAGAAAAGGCCTTTGACAAAATTCAACAACCTTCATGCTAAAAACTCTCAATAAATTAGGTATTGATGGGACGTATCTCAAAATAATAAGAGCTATCTATGACAAACCCACAGCCAATATCATACTGAATGGGCAAAAACAGGAAGCATTCCCTTTGAAAACTGGCACAAGACAGGGATGCCCTCTCTCACCACTCCTATTCAACATAGTGTTGGAAGTTCTGGCCAGGGCAGTTAGGCAGGAGAAGGAAATAAAGGGTATTCAATTAGGAAAAGAGGAAGTCAAATTGTCCCTGTTTGCAGACGACATGATTGTATATCTAGAAAACCCCATTGTCTCAGCCCAAAATCTCCTTAAGCTGATAAGAAACTTCAGCAAAGTCTCAGGATACAAAATCAATGTACAAAAATCACAAGCATTCTTATACACCAATAACAGACAGAGAGCCAAATCATGAGTGAATTCCCATTCACAATTGCTTCAAAGAGAATAAAATACCTAGGAATCCAACTTACAAGGGACGTGAAGGACCTCTTCAAGGAGAACTACAAACCACTGCTCAATGAAATAAAAGAGGATACAAACAAATGGAAGAACATTCCATGCTCATGGGTAGGAAGAATCAATATCATGAAAATGGCCATACTGCCCAAGGGAATTTATAGATTCAATGCCATCCCCATCAAGCTCCCAATGACTTTCTTCACAGAATTGGAAAAAACTACTTTAAAGTTCATATGGAACCAAAAAAGAGCCCGCATCGCCAAGTCAATCCTAAGCCAAAAGAACAAAGCTGGAGGCATCACGCTACCTGACTTCAAACTATACTACAAGGCTACAGTAACCAAAACAGCATGGTACTGGTACCAAAACAGAGATATAGATCAATGGAACAGAACAGAGCCCTCAGAAATAACGCCGCATATCTACAACTATCTGATCTTTGACAAACCTGAGAAAAACAAGCAATGGGGAAAGGATTCCCTATTTAATAAATGGTGCTGGGAAAACTGGCTAGCCATATGTAGAAAGCTGAAACTGGATCCCTTCCTTACACCTTTTACAAAAATTAATTCAAGATGGATTAAAGACTTAAACGTTAGACCTAAAACCATAAAAACCCTAGAAGAAAACCTAGGCATTACCATTCAGGACATAGGCACAGGCAAGGACTTCATGTCTAATTAGTTCTCTGATGAACCGACTTCAATCTATATATTTTGCTTTGATTTTCCCCAACTTGGTGTATAAGTACAACTGCTCTTCTCTGAAAGCAAATGTTAGTAATGATATTATAAAATTATTATGACCTTTCAGTCCATTCCCTTTAATTAAAATTTTAAGGGCTGGGAAAACTCACCAGAATGTTTCCTCTATATTATATTTATTAATAATTTATATAGTTAAAATATGCCTTGTTTTTTGTCAGCTACCCTTGGACACAATTTTTCTGAAATTGTAAAATAAGTGGAAATGTAAAGGTTATCTTTACCAAGTGACAAAAAATGTATTAGATGTATTACTATAAGATATTTGAAATGTAGAGCTGTGTTAATGATGTAACATCTTATGTTAAAAAAGGAGACATCTAAGGTATAACCATATGTTTAAGTTACTCATGAGATTCCTTTTAAGGATGCATAACCCAAGAGAATATGAAAAACAGCACTAAGAACTGAACTGAGTTTCAACAAATCAATTAATACTGGCTCATGGCCCAAATAGTTTTACTTACATGAGCATTGCTTATCTATATTTTATCAGTATTTATAGAAAAACTTACAAGAGCTAGAAAATAAAGTATATATATATATATAATATATATATATATTATATATATATAGTGTGAATTCCCATAAGAGAAAGGCAAAGCCAGAACATATATTCCATTGGCAAAATAAAAACATGATATATTTTCATTGGATTCCAGATTATTGGTATTGAAGACTTAATTCTATATAGTATTTTGGTTGCTGTTGACAAAATAGTTAATGTTGATAACTCACAGGTCACATTTGGCAGGCTTCCAAATTAACCCATCTAGGGGAGGTCTTACAATTTATGACTTATATCCTGTCCTTGATTAAAGAATCTTATCCTGAGTCTAATCTTATCATGGATTCTCCAAACTGTTGAGGTACCGATTAATACATCATCTACTGACATTGAAAATGACGCTGATTTGTTTCTGGATCACAAAGTTTTACTGATAGTCTTGCACCTAGAATATTTCAGCCTGTTATGTTGCAACCTGTAGCCAATGATTATAACTTCTGTGGTGAACCCTCCAATTAAAAGGAAACTGCAGTGTGAGGAGTCCTTCTCCCTTATTGTAAACTTTCCCCTCCAACTTGTAGCAGATTCTGGAACATGCCCAACTTTGTGTGTCTTTCCTGATCAATCCACACATTTAGCTTTTAATAATGCTGTATCAAATTATTTCTCCCTCGACAGGCTTAATTTTGGTTGGCAATGTATATCAAATAAGATCATTAATGATGCATACAGATATTTAAATATTATAAACCAATGTTTAAAAAGAATGAATAACATGTTAATTTATATAGACTATCTGATTACAAAGCAGAAGGCATCACTGCACACCGATTAAAATAAATATAAACCAGAGTGTTTCAAGGTAAACCATATGGTAATTCTCTTGATGGAATTTCCAGTTTCCCTCCAGGGGTTTTTGGTTGTGTAATGATGGAAGAATGTCTCACTTTTGACCCCCAAAAGAGAGACTTTTAAAATTAATTAATTGACGCTTGCAACTTTGTCAATGATTTCTTTTGCTCTGAATTGAAACTTCTGGGCTATCATTTAAAAATGAATCTTAGGTTTGGCACAAAATTTGGGATTTTGAAGCCTACTTCATGAGTGGGGGATGAATGTCTCTATGCTGCATAGGAGCTGAAGGCAAAGACAGACACACACCTACTGCTCTGGCTCAAACAACTGAACATGGTTTCAGTTAAATTCTGAAAGTTGGCTGAAGCAGGGTGATTATTTTTATTTTTTTATCTCCAAAAATAGAAATAAACTACCCCTATTATTTCGTCTCATGATTTCTGACTTCAGCCCCACCAGCTATTAATAAAAAATACAATAGACTTATCTTTCATAAAATTCTTTAGGATTAAATTTCTAAGTGTACTAGTTACAATGAGGAGAAGGAGCAGAAGGAGAAGGAAGAGGTAGGTGTTAAAGGGGAGAAGGAAAACCAGGAGAACAATTAGCCATTTCAGCAGCTAGTTTTTGTGCTGCTCTCTACTATGACACCAATGTTCATTAAGAACAAGTTTTCATCAAACCTCTGATCAAAGATAATAGTGTTGAGAAACTTGCCCTAATCAACTATCCCAAATCCTCATCTGCTCCAAGAGCACTTTGTACATGCCTTTAATTATGCACAATGGCATTTAATTTTGTTTTGTTGTGCTTTCTTTGCTTCCGTATGATGAGCTGTTGTTGTCGTGAGCACAGTGTCTGGCATGCAGCAGGTATTGTGTAACTCTGTGTGGACTGAACTGAAAGTCTAGGCAATGCTACAAGTCACAGTGCTTGGCAGCATCCCTCATTGCAGAGGAGCTCCCTCTCACTTCTGTGGAATCTTGTAGCTCTTCTCTCATTTGGATATTGGGGATGGTTGCAAAGATCTATACCTGGAAACATTTGTTCCTAAAATAAAAAGGAGCTGCAAAAACACAATCTAACCTCTGACATCTGTTCTTTCTCTCCAGGAGGTCAGAATAATACTGGAAGTCCTCCATCTATTTCTCATCATCTCACTCTTGAGTGTGCACTGCCAACAATGTCCCTGAATGAAGAGCCACTGATTACATCTAAGTTTTGGCTGTTGAAAGGAAGTTCTACGTATAAGGAAGTGCATTGGACTGACAGTCAGGTCAGCATCTGGATTGTGCTGTGAGCTCTCGTATGTATCACCTCATGTGATCTTCGTGATCACTTTGCAAAATGTGGATTTTGCAAAATGAGGCCACAAATAGTCGCCTTTCTCCAATTTTCTCATTTCTTTGACTTTACTTTGTGACTTTTTGGATTGTTGTTTACGGTATGCTACCTAAAGTTTTTCTCACTTCAGAGAAGAGGAAGCTAGCTAATGCTGTCAGTGTCACAGGACACGTCATGCTTACAATGATAAGGTTAATATGTGGCACACCTCTGACTTGAACAAGGCCTGTTTGTTTACAAAGTCAATGGTTACACTCTTACCCTAGAGTTCTAGTCTCCATTCTGCTGCCAATTACCCGATGACCTATGTGACTTTAGACATGTGAAATAACTGGGTTTTTTTTACTTTTGAAAAAAAGGAAGAGCATCAATGAGATAATTTCTAGGGCATTGCTTCTCAAATTTTACATGAATAAAGATAACCTTGGGATCTTGTTAAAAAGTGATTTTTTAATTCAGTAGGTCTAGGGTAGGGCTTGAACTTCTGCAGTTCTAGCAAGTTTCTAGGTAATGGCGGTGCACCTTGTCCACAGATCACACTTCCAGTAACAAAATGGCCTTTCTTTTTATTTGTTTAAGAGTTTGATTCCAGAAAGAATGGTCACTACAAAGATAGGGATAAAGCTATTTTCTACCCAGTGTTCTTCCAGGTAACATTAGATAGGCTCTAATCCTAAGGAACTAAAGAAGACCTAAGTCAATCAGAAGCATCCTAACATAATTGTTGTGTTGATGAGCAGCTCTGCATCCTTAACAGCAACTGCTACACAGCCAACAAGCTCTCATGCATGTCTCACAGCTCCCTGAATTAGATTCCAAAGACCATCTGCCTATGCCACAACTGGGGATGACTTTCCGTCTGTACTTAGTATTTCTCTGCCTTGCAATAATTGCCAAGCATCCAAGAAGCTTCAGAGCCATTAAAGACAGAAACACACACGACTCATTTTCTAGAGACCTATGATAAAAGACAATAGAGCTAGCATTATACAATGCAGCATGGTATGAAGACATCTTTCTAATGCAGAGCAGGATTTGTTTAGTTTTAAAGCCAAGTATATCAGCAGATATACTGCATAAAATAGAGTTGACGAGGAAGAACTTGGTGTTACAGACTGCTGGGCCCATGAGTTCTCTGTTGCAACAAAATTTAATGGGCCATTGAGGCTTGAAGTTGTAATTCAACATAAACCCACTTTGAAAATTGCAATTTGAAGTATTAGTATTTTATGTTATTAGAAGGTTTTGCTTTGAAATAATATTTTTAATTTTGCACTGGACATTAGGATATCAATACTTCATAGAAATGACAATATATGGGAAAATGTTGATGTTGAGGCTGGAGGATGCCTCATCAGATTTTTTTCCCACATATTTTCTTGGAATACATTTGATAAATCATGGAAATAATTCTTCCTTTATTATTGTCAGTAAATTCACTGGTCCCACAAATCGTATTTGTAAGAGTGATATTTTAAAAGGGTCAGAATTTTTTTTAAATGCCACAGTCCAAATTCATCTTTCCATTTTGGTCATTTTTATCTTATACAAGAAAAAAATACTAGATAATGTGTTTTTGTTTCTCTCTTACATAAAAGACTAAGTCAGTTATCATAATTTACATGTAAATTGTGAGTCAGAGGAACATTTCTCAGCAGGTGGTTTTTCAGTGTTAGACTATCTTAGCAGAGAAGAAAGGACACATTGAACATTCTCTTCTCTTCCACATTTTCGATCATCCAAGGTAGTGCCTATCTCAGATAGAAGTCAGAGTCAGCAAGTTAGTTGGCAAATGGGATTATGGGAGCTAAGAAAAGCCAGTGAGCAGCAATTTGACCAACTGCTAATATAGCATTCCTAAAC
The DNA here is from genome assembly GCF_000001405.40 of Homo sapiens. Taxonomy (NCBI): domain Eukaryota; kingdom Metazoa; phylum Chordata; class Mammalia; order Primates; family Hominidae; genus Homo; species Homo sapiens. The sequence goes on from NW_017363818.1 coordinate 236,532, forward strand.
ATCAACAAAAACCAAAATAGTTCTGCCAGAATTTAAAATCACTAATATTAAAATTTTGATTACACATTTTTTTTTCCTAACAATTCTTTCCTGAGGTGCCTAGTTGGCTTTTGACTACTGATTGGTTACAGTAATCTTTGTCTCTGCTGTCAGAAAGTACTAAAGCCAAGAGAAAAATGTATGAGATAAACCACTTTCCTTTTCAAACAAACAATGTGAGGTACATCATGCCAGTTAGTGACTGCCAGAATGAATCTTTTGAAATAAATCAGCAATTAGAAATCTCCATGTGCACAATTTTTTTCCATTTTATTGAGATAGTCTTCACTTCTCTTGTAGTACAACAAAGGATAAAATGGAGACAGAGACTCATTTAGTATAATATTATGTCCTGTGCTAGAGTATGGGTATGCCAAAAGCCAAGAATTTGAGAGTGGACTTTGGAAGAATTTAAGAATTAGTTTTTTGCCTTTTCAATTGGGTGAATACGTATAAGATGATATATAAACTTGTTAAAAATAACAGAAACAATAAATAGTAGGTATTATTTTCTTTTTTCTCCTAAATATGGAAGCCTTAAATTAAAAAAAAAAACAGATTCATAGCCATCCTTTTCAGTGTTTCATTTAAAAAATTCTAATGCATGCACAAAGATAGTTAAAGAACTTTTATGCAAAGCTCCTTTCTAAGGTGGCTTGGCATCACAATTGAGGTTTTGTTACTCTCTTACATGTTAAAAACTGTTAACCATATAAGTATATATGCTAATTTTTACCACAGTAGTTAGCGACAGTAGGTAAAATATTAAAAACATGCCAATCAAATGAAATCTGTATCAAAAGTAAAAGAAACTCTTGAAATATGGTAGTAGAACTTCAGGGATCCATGGAAAACAGCCATTGATATATAGCCTGTCTGTAGTTTTTATATATTCCAAAAATTTTTTGTGCCTTTCTCCAAACGAGACCAACACATCATTTATATTGAATGGATTGGACATACATGTAGATAGATTAGGGTGGGTAATTTCAAAAACATCAAGCCTGCTCCCATCCCTCATTTCACAATCCATCTTATTATTAATAGTTAATGAATTAGTTTTTTCCATTACAAAAAAAAATACCAAGAAAGAAAATGTTTAGCATTACAATTTCACTGAAAGGAGAATGCATTGCATTAAATTTTTTGTAAGGTGTGAATGACCAATATAGACTATTTCTGAATAGTTGGGTAAGACTAGGTTTTTAAAAAATGAGTTGAAAATAATTACATAATAAAAATGTTGAAGCTTAATGAATCCTTAATTGGATAATTTATTTTACGAACTGGTAAACAAGAAACACTAAAGAGCTATTTATTTGAATCAATGAAGTAATTAATGAATGAATCTATAACTCAGTGTATTGTTTTTGACATTATCTTGTAGGATGCTTTAGGGTTCCTCAAAGGTGCTTCAGGAGCAACCACAGGGCTGCTTGGGGTGTATTCAGTTTCTCCAGCCTTTAGTTCAATTCAAAGCAGTTTTACTTCCAAATATGCACAATATTGAGTTTTGAAACCATATTTAAGATAGAAAAAAAGATTTGCAGTCATTGTGATCTGAATGATACTGTGGTCATGCTTTTAAAGTTTCTATGGGATGTCAGCAAGATGTCTCTGGCTTTAAGCCCCCTCACAGAAAGTAAAACTAGCAATTGTCTACAGATAATAACACCTTGTGAAAATCCAAGAACCCAGAGATGATGCTGAAACACCTTTCTGGACACCAAAAAAAGAAAAAAAAAAGCACATTAGAAGGTTAACGGGATCAGTTTTACTCTGACTGTGTTGCCAATCTCCCAAGCTTACACAATGCCCCAATGAGAGAATTCCCCTGGGTTTAGTTTCACTAATGGTTAAAAAAGAGAGCCCAAGGTGGATATCCAGTTTCTCCAGTAATTGGAGGTGCTTCCCAGGAGGCCTAGTTCTACCTTGTTTCATGGGGAATACTCAGGAAATCAGCAGGGTTAGCCCACCTGTGGTCATCTAGAAACAAGTGGGGTAAGGCTCACGGCAACCAGTGCACAGATGTTGGCAGTTGTACACAATAGACAGAAGTCTATTGTGCCAGCAGTGATGCCCAATCAGAGAGAATAGCCAATGGCATAGCTCAACCACAGAGCCTAGCTAGTGAACCCCAAAAACATGGCTGGCTGTTCTACCTGGCTACAGTCCCTAGCTAGCCACTCCACCCAGCCTTTGGAGACAAGCCTGAGACTCTGCCCAAACAGGTAGGCATGCTGTGCTCTTACATTTCTGCAGATCATAGCCTTTGGTCCTGCCTGACTAGAAGACCAAAAAGCACCTCTTCCCAGGCTGAGAGCCCAGCCTAAGACCCAGCCTGGGCAAAGAAGCAGACCTGTGATCTTACATATTTGCAGGGCAAAACATCTGGGTCCAAAAGACAATGGAGTGAAACTAGCAGCCCAACCACAGGGCACAGCCCATGGCCCTGCCCCATCACAGGTCCTAATCTGCAACCTCACTTAAATACAGGTCACAGTGAAAGAACAGGTCACCAATACCATCTGACTGGGGAGTATCACTTCAACATGGAGTCCAGCCACCAATACCATCTGACTGGGGAGTGTAACCTAAGACCCCACATGACTAAGGGTGGTTGTGTACCCTAAAGGCAGCCCTGCCCAACTGTAGAGTCCAATTAGCAGCAGCACCTGCCCAGGCAACACAGCCTAAGATTCAGCCCTACCAGAAGTCATTAAGCAGCCTGGGCCAGAGACCCTGGATGACCACAGAACCAAGACACTGGTCTCAGTGACTGCAGAAGCAAACCAAGAGTTGCACTTGAACTCATAGCAGAGGTGACAGTCCTGCCCAACTAGAGAACCTGACATGAAGCCCTGTCTTCCTTAGGTCTCTACTGTAGCAGTGAAGGGAAACTTCCCATTTACTCTTGGAGCGTTCACTGAAAAATCAACTGAAGAAAGGTAGATTAATAGGAGAAATGGCATACAGATTTATTGGTGTAAACAAGGGAAATGTACAGAATGATTATCCTAATGTGCAATGAATTGAGTACAGGTGGTTTATACCTTTCTTCTTGGGGGAGAGGGAGATTGAGAAATGTGGATAATTTTAAAGGGGGGTAGTAAATGAGTTTTAAGGGAATTTAATGGGCTTAAAAAACATACAACAGCCTGGGTCAAAGTCTGTTGAGTCCACAGAGTAGGCAATAGTTTGTGACAAGAAGTCTATTCAGGTGTGTTGACAGACTTCAGTCTTTCTTCTTGTGCAATGAGATCAGTTAATGAAAACTCATGGAAAGGACTACAGGCAATTGTTTCTTGCTTTGGCGAGTGTGAACTTTAGGCAGATAAGGGGACTTTAGAGAACAACTTCATCCTGTGTTTTAGGAGAAAGAATTGGGAAATAAGGGAGGATAAAATGTCATAGAGACCATGAGGCCTCTCCTTCAAAGCACTACATTGTAGGCTAACAGTTTCTAAATTCCAACACTGTCAACTGGTTCATCCAAAACCCAGGATGAAATAACTGGTGATTGTCTATTTCTGCTGAAGCAAATCTATAAAGACAAGAAGAGGTGAGTGCTTCCTCAAAGGCACAGACTGGTGCAAGGATACGGAATCATGAAAAATCAGAGAAATATAAAACAATCAAAGGAAACCAATAGGACACTACCAAATAAAACTAACAAAGCTCCAATAATGGACCCCAAAGAAATGAAGACTACTGAATGTACTGGCAAACAATGCAAAAGAATCCTCTTAAGAAAGTTTGATGAACTATAATACACAGATAGGCACATGAATAAAATTAGAACAATAACATATGAATGGAATTAAAATTTTTGTTTATTTGTTTGAGACAGGGTCTCATGCTGTTGCCAAGGCTGGAGTACAATGGTGCAATCATGGCTCACTCTAGCCTGAAACCCTTGAGCTCAAGTGATTCTCCCACCACAGCCTCCCAAGTAGCTGTGACTAAAAGTGTGCAGCACCATGCCTGGTTAATATGTATTTTTTATTTTTAGTAAAGATGAGGTCTTGCTACGTTGCTGTATTAGTCCGTCTTCACATTGCTAATGCTTGAGACTGAGCAATTTATAAAAGAAAGAGGTTTAATTGACTCACAGTTTCTCATGACTGGGGAGTCCTTAGGAAACTTAAAATTATGGTGGAAGCCAATGGGGAAGCAGGCACCTTCTTCAGATGGCAGCAGGAAAGAGAAAAAGAAGGGGAAACTGCCATTTATAAAACCATCAGATCTCAAGAAAATTCACTCACTATCATGAAAACAGCATGGGGGAAACTGCCCCATGATCCAATCACCTCTCACTAGGTCCTTCCCTCAATACCTAAGGATTACAATTTGGATTACAATTCAAGATGAGATTTGGTTGGGGACACAGAGCCAAACCATATGATTCCACTGCTGGCCCCTCTCAAATCTCATGTCCTCACATTTCAAAACACAATTATGCCTTCCCAACAGTCTACCAAATTCTTAACTCATTCCAGCATTAACTCAAAAGTCCAAGTCCAAAGTTTCATATCAGACAAGTTCCTTCTGCCTATGAGCCTGTAAAATAAAAAATAAGTTAGTTACATCCAAGATACAATGGTGGTACGGACATTAGTTACATCCAAGATATAATGGTGATATGGACATCGAGTGAATGTTCCCATTTTAAATAGGAGAAATTAGCCAAATATAAGGGGCTACAGGCCCCAGGCAAGTCCAAAACCCAGCTGGGAAGTCATAAAATCTTAAAGCTTTGAAATAATTTCCTTTGACTCCATGTCTCAAATTCAGGGCATGCTGATGCAAGGGGTGGGCTCCTATGGTCTTGGGCAGCTCCACCCTTGTGGCTTTGCAGGGTACAGCTCTGCAGTTGCCTTCATGGGTTGGGGTTGAGTGCCTGTGGCTTTTCCAAGCACATGGTGCAAGCTGTTGGTGGATCTACCTTTCTGGGGTCTGGAGGATGGTGGCCTTCTTCTCACAACTCTACTAGGCAGTGCTTCAGTGGGGATCTGTGTGGGGGCTCCAATCCCACATTTCCCTTCCACACTGCCCTAGCTGAGGTTCGCCATGAGGGCTCTACCCCTGGAGCAGAATTCTGCCTGGACATCCAGGCATTCCATACATACCTGAAATTCAGGCAGCGGTTCACAAAGCTCAACCCTTGCCTTCTGTGCATCTGCAGACCCAATATCACATGGAAGCCGTCAAAGCTTGAGGCCTGCGTCCTCTGAAGCAATGGCTCGAGCTGTACTTTGGCACCTTTTAGTGACAGCTGGAGCTGCAGTGGCTGCGATACACAGTACAAGTCCTGAAGCTGCACAGAGGAGCCAGGCCCTGGGCCTGGCCTATGAAACCACTTTTCCCTCCTGGGCCTCTGGACCTGTGATGGGAGGGGCTTCCTCAAAGGGCTTCTGACATGGCCTGAAGACATTTTCTCCATTGTTTTGGCTGTTGACATTCAGCTCTTTGTTATTTACACAAATTTCTGCAAACTGATTAAATTCATCCTGAGAAAATGGGTTCAATGGAGAGCTTCAAGAGAAGACTTTATCAACAGAAGCAAGAATCAGGAAACTAAAAGACACATCATGTAAAATTACCCAGGCAGAAGAACAAATAGAAAAAAAATAAAAAGAATGAAGAAATCTTACTGAACTTAGATGACGCAATGAAAAGAAAAATATAATCACTTTGAAAATACCAGATAAGAAAAAAGGGGAAAAGGGACAGAAAGTCTATTTAAGGAAATGATTGCTGAAAGCTTCTCAAGTTTGGGAAGAGAAATGGACATTCATATTTACGAGGTTCAAAGATCCTAAATAGGTTTAACCCAAAAATGTCTACAACGAAACTTGTAATTAAATTGTCAACAGTCAAATACAAAAAGAGAATTTTGAAAGTGGCAAGAGAAAATTAACTTTCACATACAAGGAAGTTCTCAGAAGACTATTAGAGAATCTCACAAAAGAAACCTGGCAGAGCAGGTGAGAGTGAGTTGATATATTAAATGTACTAAAACAAAATAAAACAACAAGAACAACAACCAAAACACTGCCAACCAAGAAAGGCATACCGAGCAAAGCAGAAATAAAGGAAAAATACAGAAATTTCTGGATAAACAAAAGCTAAGGGAGTTTATAACCACTAGAATGCTAAAGGGGGCATTTCAAGCTGAAAGAAAATAACACTAATTAGTAACATGAAAATTTATAAAAAGAGAAAAATCTTTAGAACTATCAGAGGACAAGCCCAATTATCTACAAAGACATGACAATAAGAACTATTGCTGACTTCTCATCAGCAACAATAAATATCAGGGCACAATGGAATAAAACTGTCCAATATCAATGAGACAGACAGAGAGAGAGAGAGAATAAAAGTACAAAACCTGTCAATATATGTCCAACTCAAGTAAAATATCATGTTGTCTAAAAAGAAGACAAAATAAAAATAATTTTTGAGGATTTTGTCAGTCTAAAACTTCATGAAAACACAATTAAATTTTAGCAGGAGAAGCATGAGCAAAGGAACATGAGCAGTGGGAAGAAAAAATGGATAATAAATTGATGAAACATGCTGATGAATTTAATTAATAATAGCTTTTAAATAATTAATTTTTTCAAAGTTGTAAAAGTTTAGAATTAAAAGTTTTGACCATATAAAGCAACGAGAGAGGAATATTGAATATACATACTAATTTTGTTTTAGTTTTTTTAGGGAGGAAGATTACAAGCTATTGCTTAGTTTCACACTTAAGAATATTTATAGTTAATATTCTTACTTAATATTCACACTTAAGAATATTTATAGTTGATATTAAAATGTTAAGTGTAATCATTAATGAAACAAAAATAAGAATGAATATTTTCTAAAACACTGAGGAGTAAAAGGAGATAGGGCAAGTATATAAATTTTCTGAATGCTGCAGAATGAAGAAAAAGAAAATAAACTAGGAAAAGCTTTGAGAAACAGTAAACAGATGATGTGAGAAAGCCAAACAACATAACTTCATTAGAACTGTTGTTAATATATCAACATACTTTATTCTAGAGACAAATACTTATTATGTCAAATAGAAGAATAAAAAAATTCATCAATGTGTACTTGTAAGAACCACATCCAGAACAAATTCACATAGAAAGACAGGTCACACTAATATTAAATAATAATAGCTGTTTTGAGAAATTAATATCAGACAAAATAGTACTTGAGTTTAAAAAATACACCAATAAAAACATACATTTTTCAACCATACATAGAATTTAAAAACATTTATGAAGATTTCAAGGAAAATTTCAAGTAACTACCAAAATATATTCCACAGCCAATTTTCTCTGATTACAGAGAAAACACATTACAGTTTTCAAAACTGGGTTTACAAAACATATGGGTAAAACAAAATCATAATTAAAAGTATACAATTTAAGACAGATAATAAAAATTGCCATTAAAAAGTATAGCATACACCAAAAGCAATACTTACAGGGAATGTTATAGTCTTTAAAATACTGAGAACAAGAATTTTATAAAGATGAATTAAGCTTTCAACTCAAAAAATATACATGTATGAAATAGTAATTCAAAGGAGACTAAAGGAAGGAAATATAAAAACAGAAACTAATAAATAAGAAACAAAATTTAATCAACATTAATGAGTAAAAAATATTGTAATAAATCAATAAAAATAAAATAAATTCAATCAGTAGTAATAATAAAATATTCCATCATAAGAGATTACCTAGTGAGTAACTGTTAAGGTTTACCTTGATTTCACAGTATGTATTGTTTTATATACATTGTTTCAACAAACAGAATAAGAGCATGTATTTTGTGAGGTAAGCCTCATTAACAAATCCAAACAAGTACTATTCAAGGAAAGAAAAATTGACACTACCAAGATAAAAAATCTTAAAGTATTAGGAAATGAAATCCAACAATGTATTGATGAAATAATACTTCACATACGAGTGTTTTAAGAATGGGTCAAAATGAAGAAAATCTGTCATTGAAATTCACCTCCTTACAGATAAAAAGAGAAAACAGACAACATTATCTCAATAGGCGAAGATAAAAGCTTTTGAAATAATGACTAATAAATTATCGTAATTCTTAGTTAAATATGGATTGAAGGGAACTTCCCTAAAGCGGCTAAGCATAAATTGTGCCTACCAAACCCATGTCTTTTCTTTCTGGGCACCCAGGTGGATATTTCCCAGCATTCATTGCAGTTATGTGAGGCCATGTGATCGAGTTCTGCCAAATGTGCACCACTCCTGAATCTAGCCTATAAAATCCTTTCACTCATTACTTGGTCTCTTCTTCCATCTGTCAGCTAGATATCACTGCCCAGAATAACCTTGGATGCTAAAGATTAAAAGTAGCAAATACTTTAATGGTTTATGATCCCCAAATAACTATAATAGCATAAATATAATGTGTAGAATAATAAAAATGTGTTTTATTTAACTGAAATAAAACCTGATTGCAAAGTGAGATAACCCCAGGTAATGGATTGATACATCAATTGCAAATATATAGATGTTGTCTCTGAATTAATGCGTACATTTAATTCTAGTTGTAGCAAAATTTGAAGAAAACTATTCATTAAATATAATAGACTAATTTTAAAAAACTTATGGAAGAACAATGTTAAAACAGTATCTGAAGTAATTCTGAAGAAGGAAATGAGGAGGAGGGCTGGTCTCACCACAGAGAAAGAAAATTTATGAAGCTTTACTAGTTAATACAATGTGGTCTTGTCACAGGAATAAGTAAATAGACCAGGATGACAGAACAGGAGTTTCAGAAACAGATTACAGCATATATGAGAACTTTTTGAGAATGGAGGAGGTATTAGAATTTAATTTAGAGACTGAAGATTACTCAATAACTAGTATTGTTGGTACACTTGGCCTTAAATCTCCCTATAACACACTATACAAAACATGTATCTCAGAAGATGTATGTATTCAAATGTGAGAAACAAAAAAATTAGAGATATATAGGAATATGGTTAGTATCTTGAGGCATAAAAGAATTGTATAAAGAAAACACAAAAATCAGAAAGCATAAAGAAAAACCTTACAAAATTTGATCACAACAAAAATAAAACTACTATTAAGAATGAGACAATAAACAAAATTAAAAGTCAAAATACAGATTGTTAAGAGATGTTTGCAAAACATAAAACCAACAAGGTATGAATTACACTTACAAATATTTAAGAAAAGGAAAACAATTACAAAGAAAAACAGGAAGATTGTGAAAGGACAACTCATAGAAATAAAAATAAAGATAGCCAATAAACTTATGAAAAAATATACAGTGTCACCAATAATTTGGGAGTGCAAACATAACACATATTTTAAAAATTAAGTACTATTCAATATTGCTACAGATATTAAACAGTGACATTTATACCTTGATTTTGGCAGAATATCAACATTTGAAAAATTGTTTGGTGATATTTGATAAATATGAAGATATAAATATACTTTGCCACTGCAATTCCATTTCTAGGAAAATACCTTGTACATATTCAGAAGGGAGTATATAAAAATGTTGATAAAATTATTTGTAATAAAAAAGCTCAAATGTCCATCAGTGAAATACATACCACATTCATGATATTTCTTTTCTCTGGAGAATGAAACAGAAACTTCAAATTTAATTTTTAAAACAAAAATATCTGAAGCAAATATGTTAAAATATGTGAAGAACCATAGCAAGCTGATGAAGTTCAAAGACTGTAGAGTCAAGTTTTTCAGATCCAAATCCCAGGCTATATTTACAACCTGTAGCACTCAATCTCCCCGTATTTCAGTTTCTATATCTGGATTAAATGAAATTTTGGTGAGGATTAAATTAGTTAATATAAACAAAACACATGAACCATTTCTGACATATCATGAAATAACTATAAATGGATAGTTATTATTTTTAATTTGGCTCCAAAAGTGAGTATTCTATTATTAGCCGTTCTTTTCTGTACTTTAAAAAAGGGGGTTAGATCTTTAAATATTAAAATAATAAATCTAATTCAACGTTTTTTATTTATATTTAAGGGGATAGAGATACAAAATAGCACATTCAAGTCCCCAATGGTAGCACTTTCAAGAAGAGCGCTCGTTTTCCCTGACAAACTCTGTGCTATTTCTTCTGTCACATACTACCAGTCACCTTATTTTCTAAGCCCAAAGTTAAACTGTATTTATGATCTGAAACATGATCTGACATGAGACTTAATATTGGAAACCAAGTTGATCTTATGAGAACTCACATATGCACCTTGGGGTGATTTGTTATGTTAGCTCATTGAATTC